>NC_000004.12:80436532-80588047 GCF_000001405.40 Homo sapiens
ACCTCATGATCCACCCGCCTTGGCCTCCCAAAGTGCTGGGATTACAGGTGTGAGCCACCGTGCCTGGCCAAAATGTGGGATTTAAAAGTAAAGTGTATTGCCTTTCTGCCTCCCTTTCTCCATACTAAATTTTTTGAAACATAGGTAAGGTATTAAGCTATCTTGGAACAAGAGATAAAGATGATTTTGGGGGGAAAATAGAGAAAAATATAATACGACCTTTTGTCCTTGGGTAATTTTGTGCAGCAGAGCTGTCTTTTGTCCCCTGCATTGCCTCCCTCTAGCATGTGACATAAGGGAGAAATGAACTTTGATCACATTGAAGGTGTTGATATTTTGGGTCTCGTAACAGTCAGCTATTGCTTCTGTTTAATAACAATAATATTAAAATCAAAGTGGCATAAAAAATAAGCATTTATTTTTTACTCATGATTTGAAGGAATTGCTTTAACAGCTGTTTTGTATTCATGTAGTCTGGTAAGTTCTGCTGCATGTATCCCTCATTTTTCTGCTGGGACATAGGGCTAGCCAGGGTATCGATATTGCTTGTGGCTAAGAGTTAGATAATAACCAGATAAATGACTACAGTGAATTATCCTACATAAATATTATACAACTAAATATCATCTAGGTGAAAGGGAATTTGAGGCAATGTTTCTAAGGTGTTATTTGATATTGTATTGAGTGGAACTGAATTACTATATCATTGCTAGTGCTGATGTATACATACAAAGTCCTAATTTTTGCCATTTATCTCTCTAGAACTGGAAAAAGTCTGAGATTTTACCTACTTGCCCACTACTAATAAGCTAGCCTGCAATAGTGTAATGAATGCGGCAGGAGACCAAGACTCCTGAGTTAGAGATGAAGGTCAATTTATTATTCACAGAAATAGCAGCAGCCAGAGTCTCAACAGCTTTTGCGCCTATTCTCTGAGCCCCAGTTTCCATAAGGGAACACGATGGAGGCGAGCTGATACCCTGTACACTTACTGAGTCACGTTGCAGAAGAGGGATCCTGAGAGATGGAAAGCCCAAAATTTTAATAAAGGGCAGTAAACATGCCTGTCCTTTGCTCCAGAGGGGAGACACTATCTCCATCTACCAGAGTTATAAGATACATCTTCCAAGGCTGGTCACTATACAGACATCCTTGAAAAGATAGTCTGGAACAAAAGACAGTATCTCTGCTACTATCCTGTGTAGAAATGCAAGAGACCCATGGAGAATTGCTTCCCAAACTGGTCCTGCCAAAGCGATTAGTAATATTGTAATTTTTATTTTAATGGGCACTTTTGTCTACTTGTCTAACTAGGCTTCTCTACAGCTTATAGCACTATTGTTGTTGTCCTTTTTTTGGCTTCATTTACACCATTTTCTTTAGGTTTCTTTCTTATTTCTTTGACCTTTTATTCTTTTCTTACTCATAAAATATATTTTGAGCATTTAGTATGTCTTAGGCAGTCTTGTAAGCATTGAGAAGTGAACAAAACAGAAAAAGCATCTTTGCTTTTATGAAGCTTGCTGTGTCATTGGGGAAGTTAGATGATAAACAAGATAAATAAGTACAATAATATGGAATATGTTAGATGGTGGCAAGTGCTAAAGTAGAAAAATTAATGCAAGGAAACAGAATAGAGGGGTGAGATTAGTGTGGGTTGCAATTTGAGACCACAGACCTCACTAAGATAACATTTGAATAAAAACGTGAAGGAAGTGAGTAAGTCATGAGGCTGTTTGGTGCAGGTTTGATGAAAGAAGTCTAGGAAAAGCCTTCAGTAAATGCAAAGGCCTTGAGTTTCCAGGGGGCCTAATGTGTCTGAGGAATGGCAGGGAGGCTACTCTTGCTTATCTGTTTCATGTCCAGCTTCCAAATGTCATCCCAACTCTTACAATATAAATTTATTTTTCTTCTACCAACATGTATGTGCTTACATATTTCATCTATTTGTGAGGATTAAGGTTGTCTGATTTTTCTGAGACAATTTGAGTAACTTTTTCTTTCTCCACTAATTTGAACGTTACCTTTGCCATAAAATAAATTCTCATCTGAACTTGGTTTCATTTTGACTCTCTCCTGTTCTATTCATCTGTCTGTTTTTAAAATCCATTTAACAAGCTGATTTAATTATTACAACTTTTATTCTTAGAAATGTCCAGGCTTTTCTCCTTTTTTCTCAATTGTAATTTACAATCCTTATGTACAATTTGAAGCTCTTCTAGGTATTTTAACTTGTATTGTACTAGTAAGAGAGAGAAATAGAATTGGTAAATGTATTAAGTCATTCCATACAAGAAAGTGATTTGTCTACTCATTTCCTTAAATATTTTATGCTCCTCAGTCGATATTTACAGCACAATAGTATGTCTTTTTGATTATTGGATTTATATGTAGGTCTTTTTTGCAATGGTTATTTCAAATAGAATCATTTTTTAAAAATAATTCAACAGTGTTCTAAAAAGCTATCTATTTTTGTATATAAATTTTGTGATTTACTAGTATATAGTGTAGTTTTCCAGTCCAATTTTTCATGTTGTCTAGCGAAGACACTATACTGTTTGCAATTATTTTAAATTTGTCTTCTCCCTTCCTATATTTATCACTTATTTCTATTATCTAATTTTGTTTTGATTACTAAATTGAGAACAATATTAAGTTATAGTCATGATTGAGGGAATCTTTAGTTTGTTGCTTACTCTAAAAAAGCAATTAGGGTTTCAGGGCAAGATGGCCAAATAGGAACAGCTCCAGTCTGCAGCTCCCAGGGAGACCAACGCAGAAGGCAGGTGATTTCTGCATTTCCAACTGAGGTACCAAGCTCATCTCATTGGGACTGGTTAGACAGTGGGTGCAGCCCACAGAGGGCTTGCAGAAGCAGGGTAGGGCGTCACCTCACCCGGGAAGCTCAAGGGCTCGGGGAACTCCCTCCCCTTGTCAAGGGAAGCTGAGGGACTATGACATGAGGGATGGTGCTATACGGCCCAGATACTATGCTTTTCCCCAGTTTTCCCAGCCTGCAGAGCAGGAGATTCCCTCGGGTGCCTACAATACCAGGGCCCTGGGTTTCAAGCACAAAACTAGGTGGCTGTTTGGGCAGACACCAAGCTAGCTGCAGGAGTTTTTTCGTACCCCAGTGGTGCCTGGAATGCCAGTGAGACAGAACCATTCATTCCCCTGGAAAGGGGGCTGAAGCCAGGGAGCCAAGTGGTCTTGTTCAGCAGGTCCCACTTCCACAGAGCCCAGCTGCCCAGCAAGCTAAGATCCACTGGCGGGAAATTCTTGCTGCCATCACAGCAGTCTGAAGTCGACCTGCGACACTCGAGCTTGGTGGGGGGAAGGGCATCAACCATTACTGAGGCTTGAGTAAGTGGTTTTCTTCTCACAGTGTAAACAAAGCTGCCAGGAAGTTCGAACTGGGCGGAACCCCCAACAGCTCTGCAAAGCCGCTGTAGTTAA
The DNA here is from genome assembly GCF_000001405.40 of Homo sapiens. Lineage (NCBI taxonomy): Eukaryota > Metazoa > Chordata > Mammalia > Primates > Hominidae > Homo > Homo sapiens. Next base: position 80,439,989 of record NC_000004.12, read on the forward strand.
GCTGTCTCTGTAGATTCCTCCTCTCTGGGCAGGGCATCTCTGAAAGAAAGGCAGCAGCCCCCATCAGGGGCTTATAGATAAAACTCCCATCTCCCTGGGACAGAGCACCTGGGAGAAGGGGAGGCTGTGGGCACAGCTTCAGCAGACTTAAACGTTCCTGCCTGCCAGCTCTGAAAAGAGCAGCGGATCTCTCAGCACAATGCTTGAGCTCTGCTAAGGGACAGACTGCCTCCTCAGGTGGGTCCCTGACCCCCATGCCTCCTGACAGGGAGACACCTCCCAGCAGGGCTCGACAGACACCTCATACAGGAGAGCTCCGGCTGGCATCTGGCGGGTGCCCCTCTGGGACGATGCTTCCAGAGGAAGGAGCAAGCAGCAATCTTTGCTGCTCTGTAGCCTCCTCTGGTGTTACTCAGGCAAACAGGGTCTGGGGTGGACCTTCAGCAAACTCCAGCACACCTGCAGCAGAGGGGCCTGACTGATAGAAGGAAAGCTAACAAACAGAAATCAATAACATCAACATCAACAAAAAGGATGCCCACGCAAAAACCCCATCTGAAGGTCATCAGCATCAAAGATCAACAGAAGATTTAAAAAAAACAAAGATGAGGAAAAAACAGTGCAAAAATGCTGAAAATTCCAAAAACCAGAATGCCTCTTCTCCTCTAAAGAATCACAACTCCTTGCCAGCAAGGGAACAAAACTGGACAAAGAATGAATTTGATGAATAGACAGAAGTAGTCTTCAGAAGGTGGGTAATAACAAACTCCTCCAAGCTAAAGGAGCATATTCTAACCCAGTGCAAGGAAGCTAAGAACCTTGATAAAGGGTTACAGGAATGGCTAACTAGAATAACCAATTTAGAGAAGAACATAAATAACCTGATGGAGCTGAAAAACACAGCATGAGAACTTCATGAAGCATCCTCAAGTATCAATAGCCGAATCAATCAAGTGGAAGTAAAGATATCAGAGATGGAAGATCAAATGAAAATAAAGTGTGAAGACAAGATGAGAGAAAAAAGAATGAAAAGGGATGAACAAAGCCTCCATGAAATATGGGACTGTGTGAAAAGACCAAACCAATGTTTGATTGATATACCTGAAAGTGACAGGGAGAATGGAACCCAGTTGGAAAACACTTCAGGATATTATCCAGGATAACTTCCCCAACCTAGCAAGACAGGGCAACATTCAAATTTAGGAAATACAGAGAACACCACTAAGATACTCCTTGAGAAGACCAACCCCAAGACACACAATTGTTAGATTCTCCAAGGTTGAAATGAAGGAAAAAATGTTAAGGGCAGCCAGAGAGGAAGGTCAGGTTACCCACAACAAGAAGTCCATTGGAGTAACAGCGGATCTCTCTGCAGAAACCCTGCAAGCCAGAAGAGAGTGGGGGCCAACATTCAACATTCTTAAAGAAAAGAGTTTTCAACCCAGAATTGCATATCCAGCCAAACTAAGCTTCATAATTGAAGGGGAAATAAAATCCTTTACAGACAAACAAATGCTGAGAGATTTTGTCATCACCAGGCCTGCCTTACAAGAGCTCCTGAAGGCTGCACTAAATATGGAAAGGAAAAACCATTACCAGCCACTGCAACAACATACCAAAATGTAAAGACCATCAACACTATAAAGAAACTGCATCAACTAATGTGCAAAATCACCAGCTAGCATCATAATGACAGGGTTAAATTCACACATAATAATATTAACCTTAAATGTAAATGGGCTAAATGCCCCAATTAAAAGACACAGACTGGCAAGTTGGATAAAGAGTCAAGACCCATCAGTGTGCTTGTATTCAGGAGAACCTACTCATGTGCAAAAACACACATAGGCTTAAAATAAAGGGATGGAGGAATATTTACCAAGCAAATGGAAAACAAAAAAATGCAGGAGTTGCAATCCTACTGTCTGATAAAACAGCCTTTAGACCAACAAAGATCATCAGAGACAAAGAAGGGCATTACATAATGGTAAAGGGATCAATGCAACAAGAATAGCTAACTATCCTAAATATATATGCACCCAATATAGGAGCACACAGATTCATAAAGTGAGTTCTTAGAGACCAACAAAGAGACTTAGACTCCCACACAATAATAGTGGGAGACTTTACCACCCCACTGTCAATATTAGACAGATATTTACAAGACAGAAAATTAACAAGGATATTCAGGACTTGAACTGAGCTCTGGACCAAGCAGACCTAATAGATGTCTACAAAATTATCCACCCCAAATCAACAGAATATACATTCTTAGCACCACATAGCACTTATTCTAAAATTGACCACATAATTAGAAGTAAAACACTCCTCAGCAAATGCAAAAGAATGGAAATCATGACAAACAGTCTCTCAGACCACAGTGCAATTAAATTAGAACTCAGGATTAAGAAACTCACTCAAAACCGCAGAACTACATGGAAACTGAACAACCTACTCCTGAATGACTACTGGGTAAATAACGAAATTAAGGCAGAAATAAATAAGTTCTTTGAAACAAATGAGAAAAAAGACACAACATACCAGAATCTCTGGGACACAGCTAAAGCAGTGTTTAGAGGGAAATTTATAGTACTAAATGCCCACATGAGAAAATTGACACCGTAACATCACAATTAAAAGTCAACTAGAGAAACAAGAGCAAATTCAAAGACTAGCAGAAGACAAGAAATAACTAAGATCAGAGCAGAACTGAAGGAGATAGAGACTCGAAAAACCCTTCAAAAAATCAATGAATCCAGGAGCTGGTTTTTTGAAAAGATTAACAAAATAGATAGACTAGTAGCCGGACAAACAAAGAAATAAAGAGAGAAGAATCAAATAGACACAATAAAAAAGATAAAGGGGAGATCACCACTGATCCACAGAAACACAAACTACCATTGGAGAATACTATAAACACCTCTAAACAAGTAAACTAGAAAATCTAGAAGAAATGGATAAATTCCTGGACACATACACACTCCCAAGACTAAACCAGGAGAAGTCGAATCCCTGAATAGACTAATAACAAGTTCTGAAATTGAGACAGTAGTTAATAGCCTACCAAACAAAAAGAGCCCAGGATCAGACGGATTCACAGCCGAATTCTCCCAGGGGTACAAAGAGGAGCTGGTACCATTCCTTCTGAAACTATTCCAAACAATAGAAAGAGAGGGACTCCTACCTAACTCATTTTATGGGCCAGCGTCATCCTGATACTAAAACCTGGCAGAGACAACAACAACAAAAATTTCAGGCCAGTGTCCCTTGAGCATCAATGCAAAAATCTTCAACAAAATACTGGGAAACCGAATCCAGCAGCACATCAAAAAGCTTATCCACCATGATCAAGTCACCTTCATCCCTGGGATGCAAGGCTGGTTCAACATGCACAAGTCAATAAACGTAATCCATCACATAAACAGAACCAATGACAAAAACCACATGATTATCTCAATAGTTGCAGAAAAGGCCTTCGATAAAATTCAAAACCCCTTCATGCTAAAAGCACTCAATAAGCTAGGTGTTGATGGAACATATCTCTAAATAATAAGAGCTATTTATGACAAACCCACAGCCAATATCATACTGAATGGGCAAAAGCGGGAAACATTTCCTTTGAAAACCGGCACAAGACAAGGATGCCCTCTCTCACCACTCCTATTCAACACAGTATTGGAAGTCCTGGCCAGGGCAGTCAGGCAAGAGAAAGAAATAAAGGGTATTCAAATAGGAAGAGAGGAAGTCAAATTGTCTCTGTTTGCAGATGACATGATTGTATATTTAGACAGCCCCATCATCTCAGCCCAAAATTTCTTTAAGCTGATAAACAACTGCAGCAAAGTCTCAGGATAGAAAGTCAATGTGCAAAAATCACAAGCATTACTACACACCAGTAATAGACAAACAGAGCCAAATCATGAGTGAACTGCCATTCATAATTGCTACAAAGAGAATAAAATACCTAGGAATCCAACTTACAAGAGAAGTGAAGGACCTCTTCAAGGAGAACGACAAACCACTGCTCAAGGAAACAAGAGAGGACACAAAGAAATGGGAAAACATTCCATGCTCATGGATAGGAAAAATCAATATTGTGAAAATGGCCACACTGCCCACAGTAGTTTATAGATTCAATGCTATTTCTGTCAAACTACCATTGAGTTTCTTTAGAGAATTAGAAAAACTACTTTAAATTTGATATGAAACCAAAAAAGAACCTGTATAGCCAAGACAATGCTAAGCAAAAAGAACAAAGCTGGAGGCATCATGCTACCTGACTTCAAACTATACTACAAGGCTACAGTAACTAAGACAGCATGGTACTGGTACCAAAACAGATATATAGGCCAATGGAACAGAACAGAAGCCTCAGAAATAACACCACACATCTACAACCATCTGATCTTTGACAAACCTGACAAAAACAAGCAATGGGGAAAGGATTCCCTATTTAATAAATCATGTTGGAAAAACAGGCTAGCCATATGCAGAAAACTGAAACTGAACCCCTATCTTACACATTATACAAAAATTAATATAAGATGGATTAAAGACTTAAACATAACACCTAAAACCATAAAAACCCTACAAGAAAACCTAGGCAATACTATTCAGGACTTAGGCATGGGCAAAGACTTCATGACTAAAACACCAAAAGTAATTGCAACAAAAGCCAAAATTGACAAATGGGATCTAATTAAACTAAAGAGCTTCTGCACAGCAAAAGAAACTATCATCAGAGTGAATAGGCAACCTACAGATGGGAGAAAATTTTTGCAATCTACTCATCTGACAAAGGGTTAATATCCAGAATCTACAAGGAACTTAAACAAATTTACAAGAAAAAAACAACCCCATCAACAAGTGGGTGAAGGATATAAACAGACGCTTCTCAAAAGAAGACATTTTTGCTGCCAACAAACATGAAAAAAAGCTCATCATCATTGGTCATTAGAGACATGCAAATCGAAACCACAATGAGATACCATCTCATGCCAGTTAGAATGGCGATCCATTAAAAAGTCAGGAAACAATAGATGTTGGAGAGGATGTGGAGAAATAGGAACACTTTTATATTGTTGGTGGGAGTGTAAATTAGTTCAACCATTGTTGAAGACAGTGTGGCGATTCCTCAAGGGTCTAGAACCAGAAATACCATTTGACCCAGCAATCCCATTACTGGGTGTATACCCAAAGGATTATAAATCATTCTATTATAAAGACACATGCACACATATGTTTATTGCAGCGCTGTTTACAATAGCATAGACTTGGAACCAACCCAGATGCCCAACAATGATAGAGTGAATAAAGAAAATGTGGCACATATACACAATGGAATACTATGCAGCCATAAAAAAGAATGAGTTCATGTCCTTTGCAGGGACATGGATGAAGCTGGAAACTATCATTCTCAGCAAACTAACACAGTAACAGAAAACTGAACACCACATATTCTCACTTATAAGTGGGAGTTGAACAGTGAGAACACATGGACACAGGGAGGGGAATGTCATACACCGAGGCCTGTCAGGGGTTGGGGGAAAGGGGAGGGATAGTGTTAAGAAAAATACCTAATGTAGATGACGGGTTGATGCGTGGAGCAAACCACCATGGCACATGTATACCTATGTAAGAAACTTGCACATTCTGCACATGTATCCCAGAACTTAAAGTATATTAAAAAAAAAACATTTAAAGTATCATCATTAAGCATAGTTTGCTTATTTGTTTTGAGTCATATATTTTTATCAGATTAAGCAAATATGTACTTCTGTGCTACTAAAAGTTTAAAAATTCAAGAATAGAAGATGAATTTTGTTATACATAATTTGTTGGCATCTATTGAGATCGTATGATTTTCTTTGACATAGTTAATATGGTTTATTACAGTAATAAATAACTGAGTTGGCATTGTATGCTAAAGATGTGTGTATGTGGTGTTGAATTGGCCTCTTTAAAAACTTTCAGGTCTTTTATTCTTTCACTCCGCCTGAAAGTTTGAAATGGTGTCTCTCCCTTTGATATTTATGCTGCGTGCTGGAGTGGCCAGGAGGAAGATTTTGAGATGGAGATTAGCATGCTTGACATGTATTAGGGAATGCTTCATTTGAGAGCAATGAGGAAGAAGAGAGAGGAAGGATTCAGGACTGGGAAGAGGAAAAGGCATAGGTGTTGTGTCAATCAGTGAAGGCCTCAGCCAACCACCTGTGGAACTCTGCAGTTGTCCATATTTGTGTGTGTAGAGGATGTATAGGGGAGGGTCAGGGGAAAGTGGCAGCACTTTTTATTCCTGCATCAAGCAGTCATTGGATATAGCCATTCAATGCAGGAAGGGGGCAAGGACTTGTACAAGACAATGCTCTTCAACCAGAGGAAATTCCCAAGAGGCTGACAGTTGAGGACTATCTGCCAACAGCAATCTCAGAAATGTTGAAATAAGTCTTCCATTTCTGTAAGCAAGATCTGTTTGGCACATGACAGCATCCACCACATCTAATTGACAGCTTCCATAATTCTATCCTCTACTTAAGTAATCTTATCCTTTTCACTGTCATTTATTATACTATTTGGGCCTTTGAGCCATTTTTTTTCCAGCTTAGATCCTTCTTTTGAGTTCTAGATCCAGAAATACAGCTGTCTTCTATCCATTACTTTCTGCATTAGGGACCTCAAACATCACATTGTAAGACTGAACTGATTTTCTCCTTCCCAAATTTCTGCCACCAACTCTATTACATTTCTCACCTGGTAGCATTACAGTCTATTTAGTCACTCAAGATAGAAATTTGAAAGAAAACTTCTATCAATGACTCTTAACCCAGAAATTTAATAATAGTTTCTCAGGAGATCAGTCAACTCATCAAAATGTGGATTTTATGTGTGCATTTTTATGGATCGTGGCTTTTCAGATTTGCAAAGGGTTTTGCAATTCAGTAAAAGATTAAGTAAGCATCATGGTTCAGGAATTTTTTTTTACATAATCTCAATCAACAAAACTATTCACCAAGGTCTGTTGATTCTACTTGTAATATTTTTTACCTACTGCTTTTATAAGTAGGCACTTACCCTCTCTTATGTGATTAACAATGGTAGTGTTTCTTTGTTTTTGTTTTTGCTTTTTATTTGTTTTTTTTTTGTTTTTTTTTTTTTTTTTTTTTTTGAGACGGAGTCTCGCTCTGTCACCCAGGCTGGAGTGCAGTGGCGGGATCTCGGCTCACTGCAAGCTCCGCCTCCCGGGTTCACGCCATTCTCCTGCCTCAGCCTCCCAAGTAGCTGGGACTACAGGCGCCCGCCACTACGCCCGGCTAATTTTTTGTATTTTTAGTAGAGACGGGGTTTCACCGTTTTAGCCGGGATGGTCTCGATCTCCTGACCTCGTGATCCGCCCGCCTCGGCCTCCCAAAGTGCTGGGATTACAGGCGTGAGCCACCGCGCCCGGCCTATTTGTTTGTTTTTTAAGACAGAGTCTTGCTCTGTCACCCAGGATGGAGTGCAGTGGCGTGATCTCAGCTCACTGCAACCTCCGCCTCCTGGATTCAAGCGGTTCTCCTGCCTCAGCTTGTAGCGGTTCCCCTGCCTCAGTCCCATGTAGCTGGGACTACAGGTATGCGCCACCATGCCCTGCTAATTTTTATGTTTAGTAGAGATGGGGTTTCACCATTTTGGCCAGGCTGGTCTGAAACTCCTGACCTCAGGTGATCTGCCTGCCTCGGCCTCCCAAAGTGCTAAGATTACGGGTGTGAGCCACCATGCCCGGCCAACAATTGCAGTTTTACTAACAGTCTTCTTGCTTTAAATTTTGACATAATCCTCCCACCCCATCCCCATCCCCGCTTTTCTAGTCAGTTTTCTATACTCTGGCCAGTTTAATCTTTTAATAGTGCAAATTGTACCAAGACATTTCTCTAATGCAATTATACCACTGGCTTTTTGAGATAAATTCAAGCTCCTTAGCATGGCACACAAGGCTTTATATGATCTAGCATTTGTGGATCTGTGCAGCCTCACTCATTGGCACTCCCACCACCATGTTTTAGGCACCAGCAGTCAGCAATCTGTAGAACAGATCTGTATGTTGTACACTGTCAATGCATTCTCTCTGCTCAGATTACCCCACTTCGTGGCAATATTGCAGACTTTATTTCTCCCCAGTCAAATAAAGTGAGTTTTCTTCTGGGCAACCTCTTTATTCACCTTTAGTGCACTCCATGGTACATGTCAGCAGCTGGGTTGTGTCTGGTGTTGAAAATGTCAGAAAATCTTAGGAGCTATATGGGTGACTGCTGATTCAGTATTACTTAGCATTTAAGAATGCCTAGTTCCTGCTAGTATTCATCTGATCACAAACTATAATCATCATCCTATTTATACAATAGTAAGTTTGAGAAGTTTTCTGAAGGTGTTAAAATTAATTATATGGTTATTTGAGTCTATCTTTGGGATGCTATTTAATATAATACTATTTAGTGGTAAATATCCATTTGTATTTTCTTATTATATAAATATGATATTGAAAATGCCACCAGCTCTATTATGCCACTAACTCTATTAAACCTTAAATTTTCTTTTAACATAAATGCTTAGAAAAGTTCTTTTTTCTTCTCTTACTAAGAGATCTAGATCCTCTCTGAAAATTGGTACAATCACCAGTACTTAAGGCTGAGAGCACAGAGTTTTCTGCTGTGTTTAGGTGTTAGTGACATTGAACATAATAAAAAAAAAACCACATCTCTGAACTCAATTTCAACAGGTATAATACTTTATTTTCAGCTTCAAGTAATTCTTAGGATTCAAATTGCAGGGTTTTAGAAAAAGAATATCCTAATGAAATTATGACATATGCAATATAGAAACTTACCAAACATTTTTCTAAATGAAAGTGCTTGGTGCTGCAGATGATGAGGTAGTTATAGATCTTGGGACAGAAATATATCCCAAGTGGCCATCTAATCTCCTACCTCCTCATGGGCAGAACCTAATTAAAAGCATCAGGCAAAGTAGTTAATGTACTTCTTGGAGATTAAGGTCAAGACAGGAGTTCTACATCTTCTTCTGCCACACTTTACAAATTATACCAAATACTTTTGCGGATGGTCTTGTATCCCAACAAGCCAAATGCATGTACTACATGCATTTCTGTATTTCGTTTTGATTTTTAGGCAAAGTTTCAATAATGGCATGGAGAGTTTTTGCTCACTTTTCTGCTTCAGTGTGACTATTATTTGAATCACCATGTTTTGTGGATAGAGATGAAATATTATATATGTAAGTACAACTAAAAATCTTAAGTTTTTCTTAGAAATTATTTTGCTCTGAATTTTCACATTGTTATTTCATTTTAAATTTTATTATTAATCACTTATTAGTTATTTATAAATAACAGAACTATTTTCTTTATTATCTCAACCTTCATTCTATCTTTTCTTATTTCTTTATTAACTGTTGTTATTAACAATTAGTCAAGTCTGATTCTTGATGGAATTTCATTTTTTTTTACTTCAAGGTTTAGAGGGTTTATTTCTAAAACACATAATAGCTGGACAACACTTAACCATTTTGTCAAAGGGAATTATATGCTTAATACATTCAAGAATTTCATTCTTAAAAAACGTTTTAAATTATGATCATGTTATATTTATATTTTCTCAGTTTTCTAGAATTATAATGAATAATTTATTAATATTTTCCATTTTACTATCCATATAATTAATTTCTGAATTTTTTATGACTGTTTTGTATCATTTCTAAGAATGCCAAAACCTAGAAAGAACACTTTAAGAAATTAATTTTCTGAAGCCAGAAAGGTCCATAATCTCCTTAAGTACTTTATGTTTAATTTTATTTAATATTTATAAATATTATTTTCTCACCAAAATGTACAACTTCTTTCTCAAAGCTAGAAAGTTATCTAATTCACAAGATGAAATTCATCATCACTAATTGAACTACCTAATGGGAAATAGCTCAAATTACTTATTTTGTGCTCCAGTAATTTCTCTCTTCCTCTGCCTAAGTGTCCTATCTTCTTGGAAAAGCTATGCAGTAAGGCAGTGGAGCAAAGTAATCTATATTGGCACAATGTTTTTCCAAGCATTATTTTGAGATTGCTTATAACAGTGTTAAATTGACTGAAAAAACTCAGTGGAGGATTAATGACTAAAGCCAGGGGTAAACAAAACAAAACAAGATACCTCATATAACTGCGAACTGTTAATTTTACCAGCCTATGTATGTCTTTGATACCAAAGAAGGAAAGAGAATTGAAAAGTTCTCCCTTTCAAAAAGTACTATTAATAAATGCATTGATATATGTGCCAAATATAATCGAGGCACCATGAGTTCAGAAGATTAATACATCAAGAAGTTTTCATTGCAGATAGATGACTCCACAGAAGTAATAACTATGCTCACTTAATATCACATTGCTTAGAATCCCTGAAGAGAAATGCTTGGAAGAATATTATTTGTTCCAAAGAAGCTCTAAATCAAAGTACTAGGAATAAAATATTTAAAGTGGTAAAGGAATACCTGAAACAAATGAAATACTAGGGAAATATTAAAAATACTAAATATCTTTGTGCACTGATGGTTAGGTTAGTTTAGGTTGCAGGAAAGCATACAAGATTTACATGAAGAATTCTTTTTAAACTCTGGAATTCAGAAATACAGTATTTCTGAATATTTGAGATGTTCATATATGTCAAAGTTTGTCCATAGAACTATATTTCACATTAAAAGAGATTTTAAAAACTGATGAGTATAATAAAATCCTAGTTGTTAAAATATTATTTTCAACTTAATGAAATAAATATAATCAGAGCACTTCTTTATACTGAAGTACATTCATTGCTCAAGCAGAGTTAGGCAAGAATTTAAAAAATAATGGATTAATACCGTGTGTGTGTGTGTGTGTGTGTGAGAGAGAGAGAGAGAGCATTTGGGTGTGTGAGAGGAGGGGCCTCTCAACAATTTTGTACCCAGCCCTGTAGGTAGCAGCCATCCAGCCTATGATCACATTCAGGTAATATCTGTTGAGTGAATAAGGGTGGTATTAGCTTGCTAGGACTGCCAACAAAATCTCACAGAGTGGGTGGCTTAAGCAACAGAAATGTATTTTCTTACTGTTTTGGAGGCTGGAAGTCCAAGATCAAGGTATGAGCAGGGTTGGTCCTTTTGAGGCCTCTCTCACTGGCTCGCAGATGGATGGCTGCCTCCTTGCTGTGTCCTCAGGTGGTGTTTCCTCTGTGCAAGCACATAGCTGATATCTCTTTGTGTGTCCAAATTTTCTCTTGTTATGAGAATACCAGTCAGAGTGGATTAGGGCCCACCCTTACAACTTTATTTAATAATTACTTCTTTGAATGTCCTATCTCCAAGTACAGTCACATTTTGGGGTTAGGACATCAACAAACACATGAATTTTGAGAGGACAGAATTCAGCTCAAAATATAGGGGTCTATCAGTGCAACTGAGTACACTATAAGAGCTTATTAAAAATTAATTGAGCTTATTTTCTCAATGTAGTAAAGATTTTTATATTATTCAGTACTGATAAGTGAAACAGTTTTGTCTAGTACACAGTATGGTATTATCTACTGAAAATAACTAAATTCACTTAAGTTTCTTAATGCTTGATTTAAAGTTTCCTTTGAATCTTTTGACAACATAATAGATTCATTTCCTTTCCTCTTTTGGCTGTTTTACACAATTAAATGGAAGTTACAATGATAGATGGGTTAGATTAATTCAGTCTTCTCCTTACCTTCACACATTACTCTAAACAAACTATGCTATTGGCAAGATGGAGCTCAATTTAAGATTGAACACTGAGCTGATAATTATTCAGTGAAAGATTAGATTCCATTAAATCTAAAGCCTGAGTCTGGTTTGTAGAAAATTGTTCCTGGGAAGCTGACTTTCACTAGGTCCTATAGTAAACACTAGGGTATGTGCTAAGATTGTTACCTTGTAACTTGTAGCTACTGGCAGGTAGGCACATTACTTGAGTTTGGAACAGTTGATGGGAATGTATAAATCCACTAGTAGAAATATAAAGGTAATTTCCTGAAGGCTACAGTAGATCTTCACCCCAAAGAGACATTATCCTGGTAGTGAATGTTTTATGGGGCCTGGAGGCAGGGAAGCCTGACCTCTACCTCAGAGTGCTGCCAGGTCATATTTGGTGTATATAGTAAAATGTTGCAACCTGAATCCTTTACTTACATTAAAGGAACATGTAGGCTTTGCCTGACTCTCTCGGTGTCTTTCAATCCATTACATCATTCTGTTACGACCAACAGGCCTTCAGGTATTCATTTCATTCCCTATTTGTTCATCTTGATATCCACCCAACCCATAAATTATAGGACATGAGAATTCAAATTAGTTTTTTTCTGGCTACTGCCATTTCTGAGCAAGAGAAGAGTATTGCTTTTAGAATTTCTTCAGAGAATTTATTGCTCTCTTAGGTTTGCAAAGGCCATGGGTATCCTGTATAGAACTAGCTAAGTTAGGTTAACATACTGCTATTTGGGTAAAGACTTACAAAATAGTCTGATGGTTGGTATATTTTAGATGATAGAAATTCAATGCCTTTTGGAGCTAAAGCCACTATTGTTAATAGAGTTAACATTAAAAGGGATGTCAAACCAAGCTGAATGAGAACAATGTGGTACAGTAAGTTGGAAAAATAATACAATTAAATTATTATATTTTACTTGATTACTTTGTTAAGCAGTAGAAATTGTGGGGGTAGATTATGGGATTTGTTTGAAGGATATGATACATTTCCCCAAATGAAAACATCCGTCCGCATTGATGTTTTCCATTAGTCATCTTCAGAGATGTGAATTTAACTTAAAACAATTCACACTACTCTGATGATGATTACTTTTAAAATGATGTTTGCATTAGTTAAGTCAGAGACATCATGAGAAATGGGAGTAAAAACAGATGGCCATGATGATGCATTTGTACTTTGAATGTTTAAAGCAGCCCCTGGTGTTTGCACAGGGATTGAGAGCAGAGTAGAAACTAAAATTGTCACAGGTTATTAACGTGCCTGACTTGGAGAGTCAACCAAAACCTTGAGTAAGTCTCATAGAAACTGCAACATTATCACGTTTCATATGATTGACATAATGTGCACTCTCCTATTATTCTGCAGGGCTGTCAAGTAAGCAGTGAGAACTCAATCCCTTTTTTTTATATTTAAGGAAAGTTTTTAGAATCATAAAACATATTGGAAAAGATCATGCTTTTGTTTACCGAGACTTGCATATCACAAACATTTTGGTTTTTAATAAGCAACAGAGTTTTCTCTGAGTATTCAGGTAGAGATATTTAAAATCCCTTTACGAATATTCAAACTAAGACATGAGTTCTCATTTATCATTCTTTTATTTCTTCTTAAATTTTAGTGTGTATGTATCCTGTCTTATAACCCCTAATTTAATTAGTAGTGTGGCATGGTAATGTAAATTTTAACAAGCTTCTGAAATGCTTTAAATAATTTAATTTTTTTCATATACCCATTCTTCAAATTATCCCTTAAAAATAATCGTGTGGCCTGGTATGGTGGCTCACGCCTGTAATCCCAGCACTTTGGGAGGCTGAGGTGGGTGGATCATTTGAGGTCAGGAGTTCGAGACCAGCCTGGCCAACATGGTGAAACCCCGTCTCTACTAAAAATACAAAAATTAGCCAGGCTTCTTGGCGCGTGCCTGTAATCTCAGCTACTCGGAAGGCCAAGGCAGGAGAATCGCTTGAGTCTGGGAGGTGGAGGTAGTGGTGAGCCAAGATCTCACCACTACACTCCAGCCTGGGTGACAGAATGAGACCCTGTCTCAAATAATAATAATAATAATAATAATAATAATAATAATAATAATAATAATCTTGCAAGCGTGATTTTCACATTTCCATTTAGTAATTCATTAGCATTTTAGCTTTATAGTTGCTTTAAAGGTCTGAGAAAATTATTGGTTTAAGATAGCATACTGATCACGTGTTGTTATGTCCTTTACCATCTCAGACCCCTGAGTTTCAAGGCTTAAAAAATGTATAAACACTCCATAATGAAGATAATGTGAGGTGACTGTTAGTGGTTGACAATTTTTGCAATTTTCTGGCAGGCAGAAAGCAGTTTTGAGAGAGGTATTGGAAGGTGCAGGATAGAGTGGCCAGAGTCTGGGAGGAGGTGATCTTCTTTGCTGCCTGGAGAGACTCAAGACTTAGGAATGCCAGGTATGATGAAAAGCATAAGTGAATCATGAGTTGAAAAACAAGGACATTAGAAATCTATAGACAGAGGTCGCAACAATCCTATGATTCACATGGTGAACAAGATATCTACCAGCGAACATTATTTAGGCAAAATATTGGAAGGTTCATGTCTTCAGATAAAGTGACTGCCTGGATTGAACATGGACAGCTGGTATTGAAGTTGGTGCCCAGAGCAAATACCTCAAATTCTGGAATATAGGAGTCCTTGGGCATGAGAACCAGCTCACCCCCAAAAAATCCCACCAGCACTCGGGCACACATGCCCATATAATTAGGTTCTCATTGCCTTGTTCCTAAATATGTAAAGATAACTAAGGTTTGGCAGACATTTGAGGAAATTGAAACATAAGAAAACCTAATATAGACATTAAAAATGCCCATAAATGTACACACAGGTGTAACCACTCAGCAGGTTTTTCTTGCCTGCTGCCCAGACAGAGCCAGTTTATCAAGAGAGGGGAATTGAAAGAGAGAAAGAGTTTAAGTCACACAGAGCCAGCTGTATAGGAGACCAGAGTTTTATTGTTACTCAAATTAGTCTTTCTGAAAACTGAGAGACTGGGGTTTTTAAGGATAACATGGTGGGTAGGGGGTTGGGAAGTGGGGAGTGTTGACTGGTCCGGTTGGAGATGAAATCATAGGGAGTTGAAGCCTCTTGCACTAAGTCAGTTCCTGTGTGGGGGCCACAAGACCAGATGAGCCAGTTTATTGATCTGGGTGACACTAGCTGATCTGAGTGCAGGGTCTGAAAAATATCGTAAGCACCAATTTTAGGTTTTACAATATGATATTACCCCTAGGAGCAGATAGCAAGGTTTCAAATCTTGAGGCCTCTAGCTGTGCAACTCCTAAGCCATAATTTCTAATCTTCTGGCTAATTTCTTAGGCTTTCAAAGGCAGTCTGGTCCCCAGGCAAGAAGGGGGTTTGTTTCAGGAAAGGGCTCTTATCATTTTTGTTTCAAAGTTAAACTATAAACTAAGTTCCTCCCAAAATTAGTTTCGCCTACACCCAGGAATGAACAAGGTTAAAACCAAGATGGATTCAGTTAGGTCAGGTCTCTTTCACTGTCATAATTTTCTCACTGTTATAATTTTAGTCAAGGCAGTTTCACGGGCACAAATGAAACAGATACTTATTCGAATTATATAGGAATTTTTGCATACATATTAATAAACTCCCTCCACTCCACTCCTTACTTTTACATTTTATTTGATATTCTTAAAAACTAGGACAGAATACTATGCCAAAGCAATACTTTGAGAGCAAGAATGAGCACACAAGGATTTATAAAAAGATAGATGGAATGAAGAGATTCAAAAGTAAGAACAGTGAAGTTGAAGATAATTTGTAGAGAGTGAAAAAAAAAAGATATTGAGTGACCTATTTCATTTTGTAGCATGTAGCTCAAGAGACCATGTATCTTCTTAAAATACCTTTAAGGTTTTCAAGTTAATATTTTCAGATAAGAATTTTGGCAGTCACCAGTTTATAATATTCAATGACTCACATGTTAATAAATTATGCTCTTCCCATTCATTATCTAGTGTTGATTGAGCACCTACTGTATATCTGTCATTAAGCACCAAGGAATACAGTAGTGATCAAAACATACAAAAAATCCATGTATCCACAGAGCTTATGTTTTAGTTGGGGAAGGTAGACAATAAAGAAATAAAAAAAAAGATATGCTATGATAGATGGTCATAAATTCTTTGAAGAAAAATAAAGCAGGAAAAGGAGATAAGGTGATGCTAGGGTGGGGTTGTAGTTTTAAAGAGGATGATCAAGAAAGGCCTTATTTAGAAGATGACATTTGAGCAAAAAGCTTAATGAACTAAGGTAGCAAGCCATGAGATAGTTAGGAAAAGCCAAACCCCATGCTTGGACACAGCAAGGAGGTGAGTGTGGCTGGAGTGGGATGATTTAAAGAAAATGAGGCCAGAGAAATAAAGGGAGTGGAGCAGCTTCATGGCAAGACATAATGTACCTTTCACTTTTGAGATATGAAGACATTAGAGGGCTTTGCTCAGAGGAGTGTCCAGATATCTGATATAAAGGGATCTCCCTCTGGCTATAATAAGAATAGTTTGTAGTGAGAACAAGAAGGCAAGCAGGGAGAGCAGCGAGAGGCTTTGTAATAAGCCAAGCAAGGGGAAGTTCTGCTTGGACTAGGATGATAACAGTGGTGGAAGTGCTGAGGGATGTCTGGGTTCTGGGTATATTTTGAAGATAGAACAGGAAGAATTTTCTGATGGTTTGAATATGAGATATGAGGAAGAAGATGACTCAAGGATGACTTTGGTTTTACCTGAGTACATAGAGAATGAAATAGACCATAAGAGAAGGATACATGGAGGATTGGAATCTGGAGTTTGTATTTTAGATGTAGCAAGTTTGAGATACCATGAAGAAATCCAAGTAAAGATGTAGAGGGCAGTTGGATAACCATGTTGGAGTTCAGTGGAGAGGTCTGGGTTGGAGACATTAATCTGTGACTCATGCATGTAATCATGTAAATGAATAAAATAGAAAAGAGTTCCAAGGAATGAGTCCTGCAACACTCCAATGCATAGAAGTTTGACAGATGAGGAAGAGCTAACTGGCAGAGCTAGAGATGGTTTAGCCAGGAAGACAAAGGCTACGGTGTTGTGGATACCAACAGAGGAAAGTATTTTGAGGAAGAGGAGATCAGTCATTCCAAATGCTTTTTTTTTTTTTTAACGCAGATGTTTTTGTCTGCAAATAGGTAGTGGTAATATTTATATTATTAAAGAGACCATGAGAACATGTAAAAATGGAAGACTTTTACAGCACAAGTAGTTTGCATTATGCCAAAATGTAGCCACTTCAAATACAACTTTGAAGTAGGGTATAAATAAACTATTCCATTAACCACTAAATTGAAGGACAAGAATTACAACAATTGATGATCCGCAGGCAGCGTTTTCCACAACAAAAAAATCATATGGGAAGTTGAATAAGTATCTTTGTTATTAGCCTACGTCCTAATAACATCAACTTGAAATTATTATTGAGCCATGTTGGAAAGTTATTTTTGGTAATTTCCTTAAGTGGGGAAGAGAGTCAAATAGGTTATCATGTTATGTTATGGAGGGTGAGGCCATGTGCCACAGATTCTGTGCTTTGGATGTGTCACAGGAGCAGCCCTCAGCTTCCATGGCCCATGTGAATGGAGGCAAGAAATGCCATTCATCTGTGACTTTTAGAAGACACCGGAACAAATTTATGTGTAAAAGATCTATTTGATACTTTCATCTCTCTCATTCTTCCCATTGATTCCTAATCTATTGCTATAAAATCCAAGGTTGGTAGTCAGAGTTTCTCTCCTGAGCCAACACTATTTTGCCTGTTTCTTCTTGACCTTGGAGCATTTTAAGATGTTTTTCGGGACTTCTATAACCACATGCTACTGTAGCATTCATTTTTCATGGGATGCTCCATGCAGTTCGTTTGCTGTAACTGAAACTAGCTGTCCCCCAACCCCCTCTGCCAAGGATATAATTTTTCTAGGAGCCATCTACAATAGAGACTACTTATTTATCCATGTTTTGCCGGGCTTGTAGCTCACTGTTGATTTTCTGAAACGTTACTTCTGCATTTTCCAGTAAAAATCTGCCTTCTACTTTGAGACTTAACTCCCGACGTCCATTTCTATCCTGTGGCATATTAATCCATCTCTTGTTTTTGTCAAGAACTTTGGCACCTGGATCTTAGTTTTACTTGTCACTCTCAGTGCTGTCATCCTTCACCATTTTTTTGATTCTCACAGCTCTGAATGCTCAGTTTTTAGCCCGTTTATACTCCAGAAAAAAAAGAAAGAGAGACTCAGGGAAAAATGGAAAAACAATAGCTCTTCATGGAAAGGAAAAGGATCAATAACAAATGGGCGCCCCCAAAATTCAAGAGTCACATGAATATACATTTAAAACAAATAATTCAAACTAATTTTTACAAATGTTTCTTTTTCTTCCTGAGTTAAAGGAGTTATATCTTGAAGAATCTAGTTCCGTGTCTGGGAATGGAACCCAGGCTGCGGCGCATGCCAAATGCCAGCTACTGGACTACAGGCTGGAGTGCCTTTTTGCAAATCCCACAGGGGATCCAAGGCAGGCAATATGAGTGTACAAAGGTTTTTAACTTTTAAAAAAATCTTATTTCTGAAAAAATCTTTTTTCTGCCTTTTTAAAAAAATCTCACCAAGGGAGCTTCTAAGGCTGTATTCTTTGTGTATTTTTTATATTTATAAGATGGTTGTTTAAGACAAGAGCTCTCTAAAACATTTTCTTTTAAATATAGCCAATTTATTTATTTTATTAGTGATTCAAGCCAAATAAGACTTCTGCATGGAAAGTCCCAAAAGTAACTTTCCAGGTTTAGAATACTATGGATGTGACATTTTAAAAATGGGCACAGAAGATGCAGCCTTCCCCTCCAGGATCTCCCCAAAAATTCAATCCCAGAAATAGGCTAAAATAGCAAGGTTTCGAATGCCCCAGACCATTAAGGATGCAGTTTGTTTGTTCAGGGTCTTCAGTATCCCAATAACAGATCTGTTCATCTATGGCACTGAGTAGGCCCTCCTGGGATTGAACTTTCCCAGGACTAAAACCAGGCAGCAAGCCTGGTTGAGACAATTAAAGCTCTTTGCGGATGGGACTTCTTTTTTTTTAATTTTTAATTTTTTAATGAATATCTTTTAGAGAAAGGGTCTTGCTCTATCATTCCGGCTGGAGTGCAGTGGTGCACTCACAGCTCACTGCAACCTCAAACTCTTGGGCTTAATAGATCCTCCCACCTCAGCCTCCCTAACAGTTAGGACTACAGGTGCATTATCACCGTGCCCTGGCTAATTAAAACAATTTTAGTTTTTTGTAGAGATAGGGTCTCCCTATGTTGCCCAGGCTGATCTTGAACTCCTGGCCTCTAGCAGTCCTCCCACTTAGGCCTCCCAAAGTGCTAGAATTACAGGCATGAGTCACTGCATCCAGCCAGGCTTCTTATGAAGACAAACTCTCCCAAGTGCTAGCAGGCCTCTGCACATGCAGACAGCCCACCCCAAGGGAAGAATCAGGGGAGAAGGGATGCAAGATGCCGGAAGTATGCCAACATGTAAAACCTCACATCAAAGGTCAAACAGTGCACTTGATGTCTCAAGTCACCCACTTGTTCTCTTCCAAGTGTACTTTACTTCCTTTCATTCCTTCTCTAAAGCTTTTTAATAAACTTTCACTCCTGCTCTAAAATTTGCCTTGGTCTCTCCTTCTGCCTTATGCCCCTCAGTCAAATTCTTTCTTCTGACGAGGCAAGAATTCAGGTTGCTGTAGACCTGTACAAATTCACTGCCACTAACAATATTAAACTTAATGAAGAAAAAAAACAGAAAAACTGATTTTTACCATCAGCTCAACCAGATTCCACAACCAGACATCTGGAAATCTAACTGGTATGAAATTCTTACCCTTCTGCCAGCTTGTTAGGTCCAGAGTTCCCTTGACTGTGGCTTCCAAAAGAGCAGGGTGGTTGTGATTGTGTTGCTCACAGCACCAAAACTGTAGAGGCCAAGGAAAAACTTCCCTTTTGCCCTCTGAAGGTTCACTGAAAATCAGCTGACAAAAGGCAGGTTAATAGAAAAAGCCATAAAATTTATTAATATGCAAGGGTGTGTATGGAAGTTATACAAAATATGAAAATTTAAAGAACCAGATGGTTGATGTTTTTATACCATCTTGAGGTTACAGAAAGAATAGGGGCTTGAAGCATGGCAAGACAAGTGATGTGAGAGAGAGAAGAAGAGAGGCCTTAGCTGGCAAAGGCAGTTTTGTTATGCAGATGAAACCTCACAGGTAGCAGTGCTCAGAAAGTAAGTTTCTGTCAGACTCCTGAAAGTGTCAGACTCTCATTCTCTCTCTTCCACAAGCCAATCTTTCCTATATCTGGACACTGGAGTTTGGGGTAGGAGGGGTAGGGGGAGCCGGTGTGCCAGGGAAAGCTTGGCTGTTTATTTCACCAATGCAGATTTTTCTCTACAGATGCAAATCTTCACAAAAGGCAACCTTTTAGCTATTCTTGTGTTTTTAGACTCTAAATAGCTATCTTGAAATATGTCAAACAAATATTATATATTTTGGGGTGAAATTTTTTTAAAGTTATATGTGCTATCAACCTCTGGCCAGACCCTGCACTTTCTCCCCTCATCTGCTGAATGACAGCACCCAAAATGTTCATGAAAGTTGCATGCTGAAGATGGCCAAAACTTCACTAATGGCTTCCTAACTGCCTTCATGGAATCAATCCGATTACTAGTTGATGATTTTTTTATGCGTAAGAAATAATATTCTGTTGTGTTTAACCACTGATATTTCTAAGTTTGTTAGTGTAGCTAGTGTTATTGTAACCAAAGATAAATCCAATTCTTTGCCTTTTCTCTTTCATACTTGGTTTGCCATTGAATATAAGGAGAAATTCACACGATTATGTGGATTTGTCCCAAAATCTACCACCTTCAACTTGCCAAAGAAAAAAGTCAAACTCTGTAAAATATTTGAAGAGACTTATTCTGAGCCAAATATGAATGACCAATGGCTCATAACACAGCCCCAGGAAATCCTGACAATATGTGCCCAAGGTGGTCAGGCTACAGCTTGATTTTATACATTTTAGGGAGACATATGGCATCAATTAATGCATGTAAGATGTACATTGGTTTGATCCAGAAAGGTGGGAAGGGCTACCAGGTCATAGGTAGATTCAAAGATTTTCTGATGGGCAATTGGTTGAAAGAGTTATTATCTAAAGACCCGGAATCAACAGAAAGGAATGTCTAGGTTAATATAAGGGGGTGTGGAGACTGAAATTTTGGTCTTTTCATGCAGATGAAGCCTCCAGGTAGCAGGCGTTAGAGCTCTTAGCAGAACTAAAAAGATACCAGACTCTTAGTTAATTCTCTCTTGGATCAAAGAAGAGACCTGGAAAAAGAAAGGAGGTTCTCTACAGAACGTAGATTTTCCCCACAAGAGACAGCTTTACAGGGCCATTTCAAAATATGTCAAAGAAATATATTTTGGGATAAAATACTTAGATTTCTTTCAGGGTCTGCTGTCTGGATATGTCAAAGAAATATATTTTGGGCAAAATATATTGGGGTAAAATACTTAGATTTCTTTCAGGGCCTGCTGTCTGTCATGTTGGTATCTTACTGCTAAGGAGTGTTTGGTCAGCCTTAAGGTCTCTGTTTTAGTGTTAATTGCTGGTCATCTGCGCCTGAATTCCCAAGGGAGGAATGTATAATGAGGCATGTCTGAGCACCCATTCCCATTATGGCCTGAACTAGTTTTTCAGGTTTACTTTAGAATGCCCTTGGCTAAGGGAGTGGTCCATTCAGTTGGTTGAGGTGCTTAGAATGTTATTTTTGGTTTACAAACTTTAGGTGGTTTACCAGTTATATTCAGGGATCATCCTGTATTTCATAATGCTTCATTTTCTCATTTTCTTCAATTATTATTTTGCACTTCACTATGAACTTCCTCACTTGGACATATGGATTTGCATCCTATATCACAGAATTAGAAAAGACCTTGAAGTATGAACTTCCTCAAACTCCTGCCCACTTCCCTCCATCTATAAACATGTCTGTGTTCATCATGACCACTTTACCCCAGTTCCATGGAGGAACTCATTCTCCTTCTTCTTGAGGCTTATGACTCCGCTTGGATTCTAATCTCATTTACCAATCTAAATCCTTTGGCCATCCTGGGATTCCCAAAGGGCAGTAACCATGCTAATTTAATCCAACCTTGGATCCCCAACACTTAGTGCAGTACAAGACAAATGGGCATTCAAAACCATAGTCTCAAATGAGAAGATAAATGCGTTTTCTCTCTTGTATTTTCAACATCTTCCTTTTCACTGACACTTTCCCCTTAGTATATAGTCAGTCAATTCTCTTCTTATTAAAAAATAAATGAAGTAAATAAACCTCCCTCTACCTTTATACTCCTCTAGCTCCTGCTGTATTTATCTTCCTTTCATGAGCAACCATTCTGGCGGAGCAGACTATAGTAATCTACTCCTCTACCCACCACAGCTAGACTTATGTCCCCATTGCCCCACTAAGCTGTTCTTGCTAACGTCAACAAAGACTTTGTAGTTAATAAAAAGCTAAACCAGCACTCCTCAGGTCTTTCTCTGACAAATACAATTTTGTTGTCACTCCCCACCTCCACCCCAATATGTTTCTCTGACACAGAGTTTGGGTTTTATCTCCCTATCCCTTCCCCACCCCCATCTATTTGCCTATTAATTGCTAGTCATACTCATTTGCTTTCTTATGTCTTCATAGATTCTAAGTGATCTCATCCCACCCTTGCTTTTCCAATTTACAACAGCTCAAACCTCTGCCCAGCTTCAGATCTGTTTACCAAACCACGTGATCCAGAGATGGGTGATCTGGAGATGCTTCAAATTCAACATGTCCCAAAGGGCCCTCATTAGTCTATTACTCAGCAAAACTTCTTCCTCTTTC
This sequence comes from Homo sapiens, assembly GCF_000001405.40. NCBI lineage: Eukaryota > Metazoa > Chordata > Mammalia > Primates > Hominidae > Homo > Homo sapiens. The sequence goes on from NC_000004.12 coordinate 80,462,821, forward strand.
TAGTTTTTTTCCTCAATGAATGACAAAGTCCTAATAACAGCATATATAGGAAATTTTAGGGGATTTTTAAAAAAAATCATATTACTTCAGTCTAGAATATTGGAGAATGAGATAGTAAGGGCAGGACAGGAGAAGTTGACCCCTCAAGACAACAGAATCAGGACTAGATGAATACCCAAATGAAACTGAAAGTAGAATGAGAACTATGAACATCGTCTTGTTTTGTAGTTGCAAATATTTGAAAAGAAATTGCCTGCTTCCCCAAAACAGTGATTGGGGCAGAAGAAAACTCTAAAACCTGTTTCTGGGCAACATTCAATCAAATAAAATGATTTTTTTTTTTAATTTTAATGTCTTTTTAACACAAGACTTATTAAAACTTTTATAAAACAAAGGAAACATCAGCCTAAACACTCAAGAAGAGAAATACTTTAAAAATCACCTATAGCAAATGGCTATTTTAAAAAACACTACATGAGAATGAGTCAGTTAAGAATGAATGCTGCAAAATTACACAAAGAAAGAACATATCATCAAAGGATCCTCTGTGAAGAATTTTATGAACAAAAAATGATATTAATGTGATTACATATAAATATTTAGTTGAAATGATCCTAGGTCCTTCTAGTTCTTCATATATTATATGTATTAGTCTGTTTGGGCTGCCGTAACAAAATACTACACAGTCTGGGTAACTTAAATAACAGACTTATTTTTATACAGTTCTGGTGCATAGACGTCCAAGTTCATGGTGCAGTTAGGGTTCGTTTTTGGTGACACCTTCTTCCTGGCTTGTAGATGGCTGCCTTCTTGCTGTGACCTCACATGGTCTCTTCTAAAATTGGTACCAGTCTTATCAGATTCGGGTCCCAACCTTATGACCTTATTTAACCATAATTTCCTCCCTAAAGGCCCTATCTCTAAATAAGGTCACATTGGTGGTTAGAGCTTCAACCTATGAATTTTGGGGCCCACAATTCAGTCCATAACATTATACTAGACAGAGGGGAAGTTCACTGAAGTCATGTTTTCCTATAAGTAAGAAATATTATTACTCCATGTATAACTTCACATGCACAAACGTTCAAGCTCTGCCAACTGGACCCGCTCTTCATTATCCACAAAAGTCTGCAACATTTCATTTCTAAAGTTAAAACTGATTTTAAATAGAAATGCATAAAAGTATCCATATTCAGCCAAAATCATGTTATTTTTGGCTGTCTTTGACTAAATAACAAGAAAACTCATTTTGACTTTATTTTGTAAATTTTTTTTTTAAATGCACTCTCCAATCAAGAACTTCTATGCCAAGTTTAAGCCTGAAACAAATGTTAAGACCAAATTATAACTCCCCAAAAATGTGGAAGTTTGCTAGATCCTTAACATCACTGTACCGCCAATTGCTTGCTGCAATATTTACTTACATTGCTAGGACTGAAGCTAAAGGAAATGGAACTCAGTTGCATAATTCAAGGCACATTAAACTAGATGCTATATTTTCTATGGATTTTACTCTTTTGTGCTTCTACTAAGAAAATGGATGTTTTTACCTGGAAGTAAGAAAAGATGACATTCACTGGCCATTCAAAACATTGAAATGCTAACTGGTATAGCCATGAGTGTCTTTTAATTTTCCAGTTTTTAAAACTTTGCTTCTAACATTTCAGAGCTTTACAGATGGAGTATCTCATCCAGGATTCCAAACTTCAAAGGCTTAAAAAATAAACTGCAAACTAGCAAACTTCTCATTTTTGTTTTACTTCTGTTATTTTTCTAACCTTTCCTTTTAAACACACTCTTTCTTGCTCTTGCCATTTGTAGATAAAGTTAGTAGTATTAAAATAATTCATTTTAATAAATTCTAAATGTGTTCAGCTTTCTGTGAGTTGGACCAAATGACATACAACCTGTAAACTCCAGAAATTTTATAGCTTCTTGTACCTTGTCATAATATTTTGACATCTAGTGAGCTTTATATTAAAAAAGTATCTGGAATATTATTAATTAATAGAAAAACAAGGATCCTGTGAATTTCAGTGAATATTTTTATGTCTTTTATTTTTAAGTTATTTAATATTCTACTCTGACAGGATTTTTCTCCTCTTCTATAAGAATAATGCTTTACGAATGGTATTAAAGTTATAAATTATTTTATAATTCCAGTTAAAATTAACTTTCCATGGCTTACTTGTTTTAAGGAATTAATCAAATTTTAGTTATAATTTATATAAGGATAAATGTTATAATTCTTGGGCATGTGTAGAATATAATTCTTCTGTGTGGAACCTATTAAATAATCCCAGTTGTTTTTTTTAAATTACTACCCTTTTCATTGTATGTATTCAACCTGCTTCCCAGCAGATGCAAGTCAAGAAAACAGAAAAATAGAATTTGACATTTCTACTTTATATGATACTGTAATTTGGATAACTCAATTAAAAATGCTAGAAAACTCATAAGTAAACAAATCAAATAAAAACTTCTAAACAGAACTACAGACTAAGCTGGCAGGAGAGGAGGGTGATGTAAGTGAGGTTCCTTTTGTTCAGGAGTCTCAGAGCCCTGGAATGCCAGAGAAAAGAAGGGCAGGGTTTGTCACCTCAGACAAGAGGGAGAAGGTTGCAGAGGGTTATAGAGGCAGATTCCACAATGCCCCACAGATCCCAGGAGCAACCTGCAGTTATGTACTGTGGGGAGCGGTGAGGGACCCATGCATGTGCTACAACTTCCTATATTCTTCACTAGCCTTCCATCTTGTGCACATTCTAAAAACTCTTGCTATATTATGAGAAATTAAAATAGGTCCTTGGCCTCCCAAACCCCTATGTACCCCATGCCCTGGAAGAGTGAAAGAGAAAAAAACCAAAAGAGAAATAGAATGACATACAATAAAAAACTAAACCAAACAGACCAAACACACAAACATAAGGAATCACAAACTTCCAACACATTTTGGAGCTTGTCCTCAACATTTTAACACTCTTTGAGCTGTTCTTTCATTGAACCTACGTGAGCTGGGTTTCTAAAGCAGACGGTCCCAAAGAAAACAACAAGAAAAGGAATGCTGAAGGAATAAACACTACATGTGATTAACATTCACAACCCTGAGGATTGCAGCTGGACAACCCCAAGCTGTATTTCACACTCAGAGAAATGTAAACTCTTCTTTCATTCGGTAGCCATAACTTCTGGGAAGAAAGAGATCTTCACAGAGGTCCAGAGAAGTGCAGCAATTTCTAGGTTTTCAGGCTCCTGGCTGACATTTTTAAATTTAAATCTGAAAACAATTCAGGTAACCTTAGAAAACAAAATTATTTTCTGATTTTGCATATAAGTTAATAATCAAGGACAAAATAGCTTTGATGTAATGTCACCTTCGACCTGAATGGCATCTACTTAAATGTAAAAAATGGCATAAAGTACAAGTTAAATGCCCTTTTTGAGTCCAGATCTTTCTAGAACCTTTTTATAAAAAGGAAATATAAGTCATGGAAATAACACTCTAAGTATTCATTGTTACTTTATTTTAACCCAAAGAACTGATTATTTTAAGGTTCCAAAAATTCTATTGGAATTGCTTATAAATGTTTGAAGAAAGGAAGAGTTATGAAGGTTTCCCTCAAAACTTTTTTTAAAACAAATATCCATGGCTATCTAAAATAAGTGCAAAGTATCTTGAGCCATATTTCAAAACATTTAACCTGAGGGCTTAGTTTTGAGGTACAGTCCTTTTCTGGACTGTTTACCAGCACTAAAACGATGGTAAAAATGGCCATGGAAGCCTTCCACACTTGGACGAATTGTTTTGCTTCTAGTCTCATCGAAGCCAACTTTAGCCTACTCCAAACCACAGAGTCAGCAAAAGCAGTATTCTTCATCCCTCAGTCCCTGAATCCTGTTTTCCTTAATCTGCACAGGGCATAGGCACTGCCCCTGACTTCAAGTAATCTTTTCCACCATATTGATGCCCTCTCACCCCATGCTTTTGCAATCTTGCATCATGTCAGGCCCTTGCACTGCCATAGATAGTGTCAGAGCAAGCAGAGATGTATGCCAGTACCAAAAGGTAGAAAACTGTGTGCCAAAGTTTTGTTGAGAAACTTGATGAAAGGTAATCTCATGCCTCTCTGTCAATTACAGGGGAGAGATGGCTCTCAATTTTACATAGTAGAATTTAAAATTCAATAGTTTAGCTGAAGGCTATGGAGCTATGGTCTTGAACCTGTGTTTAAATAGAAAGCCTGTTGTTTTTTGTCTTAGGTTGTGTTTTCATTTAAGGTGGGTTTGGAGCAGTAGTATGTTGGAGCCAGCATTCACAAGCCTGCAAGTCAATTGAGCACGACACTTCTCATATTTGTTGTCTGCTAGCAGCTTGAAATTGGTCAAGGTGAAAGTATTTACACCACTGATACTGGCAAATGCTATCAATCGTGACTTTCCCATTCCCACCCTCTCTAGGTTTGGGCCTATTGATGGTGATTGAAGCAGAGCAGCCAAAGCTGTTCTAAGTCTATACCTTGATGTACCATTCTTACAACTTCCTAAAATGCAAAGCTTGTCAATCCTTATTTCCCTTTTTCACTCATCTTCATTTTGCTCTAGATTTCCTCTACAGATGAATAGTCCCTTCCTCTTTCCAACATTCCCCACTCTACCTTTATTGTAAACTCACCCGCCTCCTCAATCTTTTCAAAGAAAGAGTTCCTTAATTCCTTGCCTTGCCCCAACCTGGCAGGCTTCTAAGGTCACAGCTTCACCTGGGTCCCTCTTGTTCAATATGAAGAAGAATATTTTCGTGTGCTCTTCAAGTATGGAATATGTAATATAAATTAAATAATGTAGATATTCATGCTAAGTGCTATGATACAGGTGTGGATGTGTTAGTTCATTTTCACACTGCTATAAAGAAATACCTAAGGCTGGGTAATTTATAAAGGAAAGAGGTTTAATTTACTCAGTTCCACATGGCTGAGGAGATCTCAGGAAACTTACAATTATGGTGGAAGGCAAAGGGGAAACAAGGATATTCTTGGTGACAGGAGAAAGAAGAGAGAGCAAAGAGGGAAGAGGCCCTTATAAAACCATCAGATCTCATGAGAACTCACTCATCACGAGAACATCATAGGGAAAACTATCCCCATAATCTAATCACCTCTCATCAAGTCCTTCTCTTGACCTGTGGGGATTATGGGGATTACAACTGAAGATGAGATTTGGGTGGGAACACAGAGCCAAACCATCCCTATCAGTGGATGAAAGTAAATTTATAGAAAGTAAGTGTTGATACCTACATAGGTATAATCTTGCTTGTTTTGTTTTAGCCCTTAAATGTAATCCGGATTTTTTACTTATAAAGTAAGATTGAGCAAAGAAAATATTAAAATATGTCAAAGTTATAATTTCTTTTTTTTTTTTTTGAGACAGAATCTTGCTCTGTCGTCCAGGCTGGAGTGCACTGGCTGGCCTGACCTCGGCTCACTGCAACCTCTGCCTCCTGGGTTCAAGTGATTCTCCAGCCTCAGCCTCCCGAGTAGCTGGAATTACAGGTGCCCACCACCACACATGGCTAATTTTTGTATTTTTAGTAGAGATGGGGTTTTCCCATGTTGCCCAGGCTGGTCTCAACTCCTGAGCTCAAAGTGTTCCACCCGCCTTGTTCTCCCGAAGTGCTGGGATTATAGGCGTGGACCACTGCACCTGGCCTATAATGTTGTTTTAATAAAAGGCAGTGAGGCTGGGCATGGCGACTCATGCCTGTAATCCCAGCATTTTAGGAGGCTGAGGTGGGTGGATCACTTGAAGTCAGGAGTTCAAGACCAGCCTGGCCAATATGGTGAAACCCCATCTCTACTAAAAATACAAAAATTAGCCGGGCATGCTGGCGCCTGCCTGTAATCCCAGCTACTAGAGAGGCTGAGGCAGAAGAATCGCTTGAACCCAGGAGGCAGAGGTTGCAGTGAGCCAAGATCACACATTGCACTCCAGCCTGGGTGACAGAGCGAGACTCTGTCTCAAAAAAAAAAAAAAAAAAAAAGGCAGTAAGAACCAAAGTGAGAATTAGTTATTAGTTTTAGAAAACTCATTGGCAAATGTGATTTTAGAAGAGATAATATTTCTAGGGGTCTCCTGGCTCCTCCTCTTTCATTATTCTTTTTCTTAGTAACTGGACCTACAGAGACCTACATTGCCAAATAAATCTGAGAAAAAAAAGCAATCGGCAAAAATACTCTACTAAATGTGCTATATATTTAGAAGCTTTACAGTTCCAGGCCAGTGGTTCTTAATATGTGGTCCTTAATCAGCAGCATCAGCATCACCTGGGAATTTGTTAAAAATTTAAATTCTTGGGCCACACCTTAGATTTACTGAAACAGAAACTGATGGAGGATCCCTGTGATATGTTTTCAGAGGTCTTCCAGGTGACTCTGATGTCTGCTTACATTCAACAACCATTGTTCTGGGCTTTGGCCATGGAGTTGACTGCCAGTGTGCTGCAATGTATTTATCTGAAAGTGAAAGTGGGTTTAGGAGTAACAAAGGATACATAGTTATTTAGTATTTACTATTTATGTGACCCTGGGCAAGCTACTAAATTTTCATATTTGTCTTAAGTTTTCTCATCTGTTAAGTGGGGATATTAACAGTATGTAATTCAAATGATATTTTGTATGAAAACATAAAATTATGCATTAGTATGAATATAATATTAATTATTATAGTATTGACAAAAACTAACAATATATAGAAGGATGCCAGGTTGGGATACTAGCAAAGGTCCTCATTTAATATTATCTGTGGGTCTCCAATTCAAAAGACCAGGTGAGAAATTTCTTTAAGAGTGTAATGCCAGAATAAATGTCTTATAGCTCAAGAAAAAGGTATCCTTGTTCATTTTTATTAATGAGAATTATAATTTATCATGCTGTTATTTTTGCTTTGGCTGCTAAGATTCTCGGGGCTGAATTTGACACTCAGTCCTATTAATATTGTAAGTCTTCTTGTATATTTACCTGCTCCTTTCCCTGGTTCTTTTCATCCTTTTTCTTTAAAAAAAATTACCTTATGAGTCCTTAAAAACAAGCTCCTCATACTTTTTTTGTCTTAGTAAAAACATAAAATTGAGCAAGAAAAAATCTAGGTGTATCATTTGACTGAGTAAAAGAACTCTGCTTAAGAATACTAGAAAAGTCTCCATTTGCGCTGAAGGAATGTCTTTGTGTCCTCTCTGTGGTCATCAGCTATCTCATTCTCTACCTCTCTTTTGCCTAATGAAAAATGCTTCTGTAGTACCACAGAGTAGTGAAGAAAAGCACTAGACAGTATTCAGGAAAACCAAGAATCAGCCTCTGCCACCTTGGACATGTTACTAAATGTCTTATGTTCAGATCCCTCACAATGGATTGTGAAAATGTATGTAAAAATGCTTGGTAAACACAAAGCACTAGGCAAGTTTAAGATGATGTATACAAAATTTTGGTTGCCTAGATATTATTTGTTGAAAAAAATATATGAATGAATTCTCAGTCTACCTTCTCGTTTTCTTTCTTATGTTGTATATGACTCTACTGGGTTTCAAAATACAGTCTAGGGCAATATTTTAATAAATCAAATTCATGTTGTCATTACAAACATGGTATCATTTTATGTATTACCTTACCTGGAAATTTGTTACTTTTAAACACCTTATGCAAATGTAACTATTTTATGTATCCATTACTGAGTCACTAGATGTGACTTAATGGTCCACACTTGTTTTTATTTTCTTCGACTTCAATTGGGGATGTGACAATTTTGTCAATTTTATGAGACTGTGTTGACTTAAAATTTGTCACTTAGTTTTTGAATCAGGATTAATAGCATGACATACTATTCATGAAATTCAAGGGTGCATTTCAGAAGGGTTTTGTTTTGTTTTGTTTGACCCAAATGCCATCTTTCATCCAGCAGAACATTGCCTCAAGAGAGATCTTCAAAACTGAGAAAATAGGATAGGGTAGGGGTGAGATATGTATCAGCAGAAAAATTAATTACAAATATGTTTATTTTTGCATTTTATTGTCAATTACACAATCAAGCAGTTTGGAAACCATACCAAATAAAGTTTAAATGAAATAAACTGAACCTAATTATAAAGAGATAAGGACAGTAATACTTATTTTGCACTATTACCAGGAACTGTACTAAATGCTTTTGTGTATTGAGTCATGTAATTATCCACAGAATAACCTCGTACAGGGAGTTATTACTGTTATCCCTATTTTACAAAGGAAGATCTGAGACTTGAGAAGTTACATAAATTGCTCAAGCCTCATAGTAGTAGATTGTCAGCTAAATTATGAACCCAGACTCTCTGCCTTCAGTACCTGTGTTCATAACCATTGACTACCCTCAAGGTTATTATATACTATTTTAACTAGTTTGATAACAACAGATGTATCAGAAAATGAAATTAACTCCCCTCAAACAAATAACAACTACCAAAAAGCAACATCCTAAAAATGAAAAATGTTTTCCAAACCCAACCAATTAAGAAACATTATTGTTATTGGTATATTTATTGGTAATGTTTGTCATATTCATTATATATTATGCCTTAAAATAGTACTGCTACACCATTTAAAAGTCTTTGGCAGGAAAGATCTGGCGGCATTAATTTCGTGCAACCATAAAAAGAATCTTTGCTAAATGCCAGCAAATGAGGTGGTAATAACTTCAGACTACTTTGCTCAGCAGGGAGAGACTCAGCAGGGCGGGGGTGGGGGTGGGGGGGAGCAGGGGGGTTGGGGGGAGCAGGGTGGCGGGGGGTGGGTGAAGATCTGCTTTCAAATCTGTTAATTTTGCAATTGAAAACAATGATATAAGGTTCAGGTGTGCCTTGTGAGCCATTTAAATTGAGGATTATTAACATGTGAAATAAGGTGTATCAATTTTACAAAAATGATATATTTTTGAAATTTAGCATTCAGACTCCACAGCGTGACTGCCAGTGTTTCTGTAACTGCGAGATGGGAGAGCGCTTGCACTCCTTCCCACACACCTGTGTTTACATTGAGGCCTTGGCAGCACTGACCCGCGGCCATCCTTCACTCGCAGCTTTCGGTTTGCTTTCAGCCATGGCAAGCCACACTGCCCCTGCACTTTCACTAGCTAGCACTGTTAGAATGTTGACTTAGGAGTCGTAAGCTTGGAATTTAATAGAAATCGGTTTGTTGAATCTCACTCATTTTAGAAAGTTACACAGATATTTCCTTCAATCCTAAACTAGAATTGAGTATGTCTTGTAAATACTGTTGAACTTTTAGAAAGGGGGCAGGAGAGGGAGTTGTTTTCATGTAACTTTTGCTTTTATACAGACTGAAGATATTTCCCCCCATTTGTGTCTCTTGGAAAGTAGGGATTACAGACTTAAAATGAGTAAGTTATTTAGTAAAGTAGATAGTAAGCGGGGAGGAGAGTAATGGTATTTTGAGGCTTCTTAGGTTTCAGGTACATATATTAGAGTGAAAGAACTCTATAACACAATTGCAATGGCAGTTAATGTTTTGGGATGCTACCTTTTTAATAAAAACTTTGACGCATAATTAATCATTTTCCCCAAAAAAACTATGCTATTGCCGTCAGAACCCAACGGATGAAAGAGGGGAATGCATTGGCCTTTTGATTTCTATATTCTGGTATAGTGAGTGTGAATGAGGTGATGCCATGCTGGGTCTCTATTGACTTCAACAGGGATAACACCATGTTTGTGAGGACCAAGAAGAGACCCAGAGCCAGTGAATGAGACATAGGATTTATTGAGGGAACTTACACGTAGGACAGTCGAGTGGCAGCCGGCTGGACAGGAGAACCATAACCACTTATTAAAAGCATGCAGTTTATGTAGCATTTTCACTTATCACCCTCCCCCTAGCAACCTCCACCTGGCAACATGCATTTAATCCAAAACAAAGGAGAGCCTCAATTGCCTGTATGGCCCATGTTCCACGGGACGGGGGTAATTCAGATGTTCCTCATAGATAATAATGAATCTCCAGGTTGGCTACTCCTGGATTCCTTAGCGCAGAACTCTGAACACACATTCTTCTTCTTAAGTTATAGCCTACAGGTGGATCTGCCATACAGGTGATTAATTGATACTCAATTCATTGAATCATGACAAAAATGATTACAGGCTAGTTAGTAGGGGCTTTGTGACAGAACCATTGGTGAAGAAGATAATCAGCTCCTTCCCTCAAGGGGCTTAAGATTTCTCAGGGGTCATAGGCAAGCAAGTAGATCATTACAATACAATATTACATAAATACAAGAAGGGAAATTCAGAGTGCCCTGGGAACTCAGAGGAGGCACCCCTAACTCAGGTGTTGTGGGGCCAGGAAAGCCTGCATAGAGGGGGATACAGCCAAGCTGAGACCTTACAGATGAGTAGCGATCAGCCAGGCGAGGATCAGGGAAAAGAAGATCCTAGGCACAAGAGTATGTGTGAATTCCCAAAGCCAATAACTTATTTCTTTAAGACAAACTAAGTAAAATAAGTTCAAGGGCCAGTATCATTATTCCTTCCCAAGTGGTCCTGAAGTTTAATTTTAACTTTTATAGCTTTTTATCTGTTTAAATGGTCTCCTGCTTAAAAAAAAAAATCTAATGTGTAAATTTTTTAGGGAGACGAGCTCTCCCTCATGAAGTATGTCTTTTATTTATAGATTTTGTGCTCTTTCTGTGTAAAATAGGAAGAGCTCAGCCTTATTAAAAAAAAATAGATTTTTTTTTTGAGACAGGATCTCACCTTGTTGCCCAAGCTGGAGTACAGTGGTGCGATCACAGCTCACTGCAGCCTCAACCTCCCAAGCTCAAGCCTTCTTCCCGCCTCAGCTTCCTGATTAGCTGCAACTGCAGGCATGCACCACCACACCTGGCTAATTGTTTTGTTTGTTTGTTTGTTTTTTAAATTTTTTGTAGAGACAGGATCTCACTGTGTTTTCTAGGCTGGTTTCAAACTCCTGGGCTGAAGCAATCCTCCCACCTTGGCCTCCCAAAGTGTTGGGATTACAGGCATGAGCCACCATTGATTATAACTACATTAAAACAAATATCTTTGGCTACCTAAAAAATTGTACTATTAAAAACTTTTACAGTCACATAATTCTTTTGGGTATTTAAAATATATTTTGACTACTTAAAAATTATGATTTTAAAATTGAAGTTTAAATCAATTTAATTATTTCATGTTAGGTTTATGTCTCAAGGTCCTCCAATATTAAATTAGCATCTTCATTATGCAGAGGAATATGTTGAGTAATGAGAATAAGAAAAATGTTTTTATTTGGACACTAATATTTGAACAAAATTTTATCTAATAAATGTGATTTTATATATACTTTTAACCTATTTAATTATGAATCTTTTTAAAGGACTAAGAAGTTGGATTACTAACATGACAAATAATATTTCTTTTCTAAAAATGGAAATAAAGTAATTTATAATTGGAATCTGGCTTTTCTGCCTGAAATTTTTCTGGGTGGGACAATATATTTAAAGACAGTTTCCTGAACATTTAAAGGTAAGTAATGTGTTAAATGACTGCCATGTTCATCTATCAAAAACAAACCATCTGAGATAAATTCATTTTTTATTTGAAACTTTTAAAATGTCCAAAAATTCATTTGAACATGAATTCCCCATCCCACCCCAGCTGGGACTTTAAGATGATTTTCCACATCTCCCCATTCAGATACTTTGATAAACAATTTAACTATGGTTTTATATCATATGATAGAATGTGGAAGATGGGTAAGGTTAGAAATATTTTGCACTCTGCAAAGAAGAATAAAATTGAGTTTTATAAATCTGAAGTTGAAATTCAGTATTTTATAGTAATACAAATAATGAAAATGTAAAGAATATGTTTATAAATTGACTATCAATTTATTCAACAATATTATTTGTTGATGGAAGTATTCTAGGTTCTAGGAATGCGGTGGTGAGAAAGACGTGGTACCTGTGTTCATGGGGCTTATATTCTAGTGAGGAAGAGAGATCATAAACAAGTAATGAGATCAATTCAAAATGTAATCTCAAGTAATAATTGATACTATGAAGAAAATAATGCCGAAAAAGGTGACTGGGTGACTTGAGGTGAAGGACATTATTTTATACAGTGTATTTAGGGAAAGCCCCAGCAGAGGTTTGTCAGCTGAGAGAGTGAGCCTTGCAAAGATTCAGGAGTATCCAGACAGAGGAAATAATGACTTTGAAGGGGAGTAAGTGTGGCCTGTTGGGGGGTAGTGAGAAGGCCATGTGGCTCGGGCAGAGGGAGAGAGGAGTGGAGGCCAGAACAGTAGGCAGGTGCCAGTGTGGTATGGAAGTTGAAGGCCATGTAAAGATTTAGCTTAGAATGTTTAAAACAGGGCAGTAGATATGAACACATTTGCATTTGAAAAGATCCCTCTGGTTGTAGTGCAATGTGCAGATTATGGGGAGAAATAGAAGCAGGCAGACCAGTTACCGGATACTGTAGTACCCAGGCAAGAAATGGTAGTGGCTTGGTCCAGGGAGGTGGTGGAGGAAGTGGTTTGTGACAGGATGAGGAATGATTTCTTTGGAAATAGAGTGGCAGGACATACTGATGGATTAGTTATGCAGAGTGAAAGAAAGAGAAGGATTAACTGAGACATCCAAGTTATTTTTGGCCTGAGCAACTGGGTAAATTGTAGTGTCATTAACTGACACTGGAAGATGAGGACAACTGAGAGAGGAATGGGCTCTTCTAGGGGCTTGGAAAGAAGGGAATAAGAATATCTTTTCGATATGTTAAAACCAAGGTAGCTTATGTCATCTAAGTGAAGATGGTAGTCCACTGTTGATATCTGAGTTTGAAACTCAATATAAAGTCAGGGTTAGAGTTGTACGTTCAGAAATAGATAAGTGTCGCAAACAAATATTTGGTGTTTAAAACTATGAAACTAATTAAGAACCCCTAAGGAGAGAGGCTGAATTAGAGAGTGAAGAACAGAGTCCTAGAATATTCCTAAATTTAGAGATCAGTTGAAGAGGATGATCTAGGAAAGGGACTGAGAAAAAGATTCAATGAGGCTGAGTGAAAGCCAGGAGAATGTGACGACCCAGACGCCAGTAAACAACAATGTTGCTCAACTCTTAGTAGTTTCCAGTGAGGCCAAGTAGTCTATCCTTTTAATAAGTTGTGTAAAACACGATTCACATGGTGCTGTAATAATGCTGTCTCTCCTGCAACTCTACAGCATCATTGGTAAGAGTGAAAAAGGAGTTCTTGAATTCTCCAAACTCAAGGAAAGATCTCCCTCACCCCTTACTCTATTCTCTTTACCCTCCTTAGCACTCACAGCTTCACCATCACTCCCTGCCTTGACAGTGTTGGGAGGGAAACTTGTTCTCTTCTAACTTGGGTCCAGTATTTGGGGCCTACAAATTAACTGACTCTAGACAGATTAATAGGAGAAAAGACAAGGTTAATTTGTGTGTGCACAGGGTACACACGGGAATACTTAGTGATGAGTAACTCACTGGATGGCTAGAGATTATATGCCAAATTCAGTAGTGGCTGCAGTGGGGAGAGGCTTCAGTGGGAAGGTATGGAAGGTTCATTTGGACTTTTTGATACTAATAGAAATAGGCAGTCCATCTCCATGGCAGCAGAATTCCCAGGAAGCTTCCTGGGAGGAGTTAATGGCACTGCATTTTCTGGAGGGCTATTTTGGGAAGGTTCAGATAAGATTTCTTTCTGCATCTTCTTTGGCTCAGATGTTTACACTTTATAATTTTTATACCAACTCTGGGGGTCTAAATGGGTCCCCATGATTAATCTCATTGTGTTCTTCATCATTATTTGTGTCAGTTATACAGAAACTCAGCATTTCCAGCGTTTTTTATCCCCTGGAATTTCATTCCATTTGTGCATCTCCTTTTCTGACTGGATCTCCAATCCAATTTCTGGATCCCCTCCACTGTGCTCTCTGGAGCTCTTTTCTGGTCACCCCTTCACTGTCAGATGGCTCTTCCTTAAGGATACTGTCTCCCCAGTATGATGGTGGATTTTACACTTTCATATCCCTGGAGCCTGCTTTTCTCAGGCATTTTGTGTGTGTGTGCGTGTGTGTGCGCATGCGTGTGTGTGTGTGTGTGTGTGTGTCTTCCCCAACTTTCCTCCCAGCTTTGAAAATCATGTCTTTAGACTGTATCTTCTATGTCTTCTACCATCTCTGCTTCTTTTTTTTGAGACAGGGTCTCATTCTGTTGCCTAGCAAGTTAGAGTGTGGAGGTGCAATCATAGCTCACTGCAGCCTTGCAGCCTCAACCTCCCAAGCTCAAGCGATTCTCCCACCTCAGTCCCCAAGTAGTTGGGACTACAGGCACATGCCACTGTGCCCAGCTAATTTTTGTATTTTTTGTAGAGACAGGGTTTCTGTATGTTGCCTACACTGGTCTTGAACTCCTGAGCTCAAGCAATTTGCCTACCTCAGCCTCCCTAGTGTTGGGATTACAGGCATGAGCCACCACATCCAACCCCACCTCTGCTTCTTGATGTTATCTGTAGGCTTCTTTGCTTTCTGTCACTCTCTTTATCCCTATGCCTGTCGCAACTCTTGGTCATTCAGTATTCATGGAGATAAGCTTTCCATTTTGGCCACTCAGGCTTTGGCCCTCCTTTCCTTCATTGAGCTTGTTCACCGCCATGCACATCCATCTTATCCCACGATCACACCTTAGATCTTGATTTACTAATATCTGTAATCCTTCCACAATCTCAACTTCAAGCATTCTACTTTGTCACCACTAATACTAAACTTTCCATAATTCTCCCCTTAGTTCTCTAGATTTATTTGTTGACTCCACGACACCTAGCACCTACTGTTCCTACCACCTTTTAAAACTCTCTCATAGTCTCTATTCTCCCATTTGTCTCCCCTACTTAGTTTAGATTCTATGGTCCATCATTATAATTGTTCCCTGGCAGACATTATCAACTTACTTGCTCCTACATTTTGCTTTATTATTGTTGCCTGGAAAACCCCAGCTCTTTTCTCCCTCCACACCTGTGCTTACAGAGCTGCAAATGGCTAGAGAAAAACCTGCAAATGGAACTGGTCTCACTTTGACTTCATGATCACTAACCAGTATGGACCTTAGTGATTCTGCAATCCTATTTCATTTCCCTGGAGCAGTTATTTACTCTCCCGCTGTCCTAAACTCAAACATTATTGCTCATTTACTCCCCCAGAAAATTTTCAAAAACTATCTCCTTCCTCATATATTATTTAAGTTTACATATAATATTTTTGCCATAACTTAAATTGTGATAAAGGATGTCGTACCTGGTGTATTGTATGCCAACTTTTAAAACGTATCCAGTGGAGGCTAAAATACCACAGATGATGTCCACTATTTTCCATTTAGAAACACAGAAAAGCTCCTCTGTAATTGCTGAAGCTGTTCATCATGCATGTTTCTTCTTGACTCTATTTCCATTCCACTTACCCCACAGACTTTTATTTTATAATTTTTTTGTTTGATAGCCTTTTATCATACTTATATATAACAAAAGGCATATAAATTGAAATTTAAAAATTCTTTTTTGTTTTGTGAGCACAGGCCTCTAGCAGTTAAAGCAGTTAATGAATTATCATTATAATTATTTTTAATTAGCAATTTCTCAAATAAATGATGCACATTTTGAAAAACAATATTAAGCCTAAATTAAAGAAAAAATTACAGAAAATTCAAAATCAAAAAGGGCCTGACATAATTTTTCAGTTCTAATAAATATGTATACCCAGTGAAACCATTTTGCTTCTGCACATAAATGGTAGTTGGGTATGAGTTGATTCTATTTCCTTACATGTTTCTAACAGGAAAGTTTGACTCTTTGTCTTAATAAAAAATAAGATCTAAAATACTTTGCTGTGAAAGACATTGTTATAGTGGAGTGCTCTGTTTTTTTTTTTTTAAAGTCGTATTTGGTGTGGGGAGGGAGGTGGTGTTCATATGATGGGTTCGCATACATTTTAAATAATTTTATCTTAACAAAGGAATGTGAAGCAATCTCAGACAAGTCTAAATGTTTAAAGGAACTCCTGACACATGGGGTATACTACATTGATTAGACTGATAAGGCTAGTGTTGAGTATCACAATTCAAGATGATTATAGTTATTTTTTAAAAGATTAATTCCGTAAGAATTATCAAATAGGTATAAATTGTAATTTATATAAAAATTATAGTAGGGCTTTGGTCTATTTATTCTAGCAAAGTGAAACCTAAGAAATGATATAACAATTTTACACTGCCAAGCACAGTATCTTAGTGAATATTTACTGCATTGCAGTTGGATTATATAAAAGTTGAAGTTAAGGTTGCTAGTTTACCATATCTTCTGTTAAAAAAGAAAACAATAATAATGAGACATAGGGACTTAAAATGTGAAAATATGAAGATTTTGAAAATAATTAAGAATTAGAAATTAAGTTTACAAAGAAAATTTGGAGGTATCTCTTTCATCCCAAGGCTTTTAAAGTATTTTCTCCTTGAGGTTTATAGCTTTTATGGCATATAAGGATTCCAATAGTCAAATAGCTTTGGGAAATGATGGTTAAAGACAATCAAACTGAAATATGCCAACATGCATACAAAAAGCAGGTAAAACACTTTTTTATATTATGTGAATACACTGGGGAAAAACATCAAATGTTTCTATCATTAATTTCAATTGTTAGGTAAAATGAGGACATATTTCTGGTCAAAAGTGCAAACATTTGCAACAGACTGATAATGAATTATTTGTAATGAAAACTGATCTATTCAAATAATAAAGAACATTGTGAAAAATCCATTAATTGGATTCACACTAGATAGTTAAATTTTAAGTAATTATGTAGAATGCTTATTGTAACATTATGCAGAGCTACATTACTTTTGTCCAAGAAACTTGTTTCGTTCAATAAAGTTAGCCTAAATCTTGGAATTTTAGATAGAAAAAATCTTTATATTGGTCCTGAATTAAGTGGACACCTGGAACATTAACACATTTTGGGAAGTCTTAAGAGACCAAGTGACAAAAAGCTCACAGCCTATTACCATAAAGCTAAAACATATGTTCTGATTTACACAAGCCAAGTATCTGCTAATGGTTGTATTCAAGTTTTTTTTAAATAGTTATATGCAGCTGTAGCAATTTAATGTGGGCCTGGGCAATACCTATTTAATATATTCTTTTCCTTATGTACCAGTGCATTTTTTTTTAAAAAAGTTGATTTAAAACCTTTTATTGTGTCCTTTCTTCAAAAATGCTCCTTATGGATACTTTCTCATGGGTTACATAGTACTCCAAAGATTTTTACATACAAATGTTAGGTGGAAAATGTGAAGATACTGCTTGTTATTGTTTATGGTGTTAAAAGGTAAACTGAGGCATAATAAAATTTTTTTTAAAGAGTTTATTTGAGCAAATAGTGATTCATGAATCAGGTAACTCCAAACCAGAAGTGGTTTAGGAGCTCTGCAGAGGGTACGCAAAGAGGGGGCTTTTATAGGATGAAAAAGGAAGCAAAGCAAATAAAATATTTGTTTGATTACAGTTATACAGTTGTCTTATTTGGTCTATTCTGTTGGAAAGTCCCTAGTTATATAACTATGTTAGTTGACTACTTCTGATTGGTTGAGTTTAAATTCTGTTTTTCTCTAATTCAAGCATTTACAAGAAATGGTCCAAGTTAAGTTCCACTTAGGTTTGCAATTTAAGCACGGTTAAGCTTATTTTCAAGGCCTAATTAGTTTTGTCTGCTCAGAGATTTTTTAGGCCTAGTCTCCATTTTAATTTACTCATAACAACTGGATAAACTGTTTCAAAAGATTATATACCCAGGATACTACATTTCTATCAGAATAAATTTTCAATGTTAGTATGTGTTGAAAAATTCCTGAAGTTCTGGTACTTGATTTTTTCTGATCATTTGCAATTCAACCCAGTCTACAAACAGTTTGCAATGTAAAAACCTATTTGCCCATAAAATATTTTTAAAATTATTCTGTATTAATTTAGCTCATATATTAGCTAAATAATTAAGTGCTACCCTTAAAGTGTAACTAATATCCAAAAAGGTGTTCATTATTCCTGAAAAACTATCAAAGCTATATATTATTTTATATTCATATAATGTTTTATACCATTTATCGCTGTAAGCCATTTAAGCAGAAATCACATCACATGTGGCAACTGGGCAAGCATAGTCGTAGACACTTCTAAGAAGAGACAATAGTGTGTTGAAAAAAACTTAGTAGAGGCAGCCAACAGACTTTCTATGGATTTTAGGTCTGAGCAGTAAAGGCCAATAGTTCAGACAAGGGTACCAGTACTCTATTGACAATGAGAATGCTATTGTGAAGTGAAGTTCCTAGTTGGTTGTTTCTGGAAATTTTTCATATGCCACAAAAACAAAATAATGTGCTAAAATTATCAACCACTACCAATAAAATCTCCCTAAATGCATAGCAAATAATACAATATTTTAAAATCTATTTATATTAGTGAGCTATTGATTTTTAAAATGAACAGAATTGAAACTCATTGCCAGATGTTGTACTCAGCTTAGCCAAAGGCATATTTTTAAACTCTGTTGAAAGAGTAAATTCATCTATTTTACTGGCTTTTTAAATCACATATGAACTAATTTTGATAATGTGGAATTTTTTTCTTGCGAGAATTTGGATTACTCACTGTAGCCACCAAATGCTGATAAAATTTTAAAACTGGAAGGGAGCTTACAGACCTCGTCTTTATTTCCTTATTTTACAGATTGAGGAAACCCCGCGTGACCCTGAGGGCTAAAATTGACTAGTTTAAAAATTACATACTAATTAGAGGCAGAGCTGGGGCTAAAAGTCAGCTATCCCTACTTCTAATCCTGAAAACAGAACATATATTGGAGCTATTATATGTATTAATTATTACCAGTTAATATATGGTGATAGTAGTGCTACCATATATTTTTTCCCATTTATTTTATCTAAGAATTTTCCATTGTGAGCCTGGTTTAAATTTAGGACCTGGTACATGGCTAATATTCAATATCAAATATTTAATTAAGAGCTTTTATCAAGTGAAGAGAGAATATTTTTGTATTTTTGTATATATAGAAAATATGGAAATGCACATGATTTCAGTGGTTATATGAGAAAGGATTACTATCTAAAACTGGATAGTAATAAAAAAAGTGGAAGAGTCAGAAAATCTTGTAAAGTGGCTCTATAACTGCACAGGTGGCAATTCTATCTGGGAATATAGAATATAAGGAAAGATTTTATTATGCTTGAAATTCTTTTACCAGAAATGTATACTAGATCAATGAGAAAGTGCACATTAAACTCTTTGCATTAAAATCAGTACTGGCTATAACTGCCTTTTCTCTTTTCTCTGACCATGAACAGGTATTAGAGGATGTGAAAAATTCAGAGTGAAATATTGTCACTTTTGTCTATCATTTATTTAATAACATCACCCATAAAGTATTCTTTTTGGAAATATTAAAATACCATTCAACATTATAATTCTCCTAAGAAAGCTCTTAAGTTATCCAAGAAATGAGAATATTTTAGCACATAAACTTGATAAAATATCTTGGCATGCAGGCTATAATAACTTATGCATTTTAGAAATTGTTCAAGTTACAGCAATAAAAAAACAAAGCAGTAGAGAATAGATGAAGGAAAACAGTCTTCTCTGGGCAGAAATTAGAAGAGGTAGCATTACTATATTGTTTTCAGTGATGGAATAATATTAGCTGGTATTGGAGGACTTACTATACTAAGTCAGGCACTGTGCTCATGCTCTTACCTAATTTACCTTTATACTAACAACAATTCTGCAAAGCATTATTGTCCCCATTTCTTAGATAAATTCAAAAATATGCTCCACCCAGTAGACATTAAATACCGAAGCTAAAATTTGAATCAGGTCTCTTGCTGAACGCTAGGTCTCAGTGAATTATAATGTTACCTCAACGTTTGTCTTTTCAATATATTTAGTAGTGTATATGTAAATTCCAAAGCAGGTGCTTTAAACAGAACTGAGATGTGGTAGACAGAACAATACCTTCCCTTCCCCAAGATGTTCATATCCTAATCCCTGGAACCTGTGATTATGTTACCTTACATAGCAAAACGGAACTAAGGTTGTAGATGGAAATAAGGTTACTAGGCAGCTGGTCTTAAATTAGGGATAGTAGTTTGGATTATACAGGTGCATTCAATGTAATCACAAAGGTTCTTAAAGGTGGAGGAGGGGGGCAGAAAAAGAGGCCAGGGTTGTTTGATGTGAGAAGGATTTGACCTGCCATTGCTGGCTTTGAGGGCTGAAGGGAGCCACATGCCACGGAATGCTGGTGACCTCTAGAAGGTAGGAAAGGCAATTGATTTTCTCACAGAATCTTAACCTGTAGAACTATAAGATAAGAAATTTATGTTGCCTTACACCACTAAGTTGGTGGTAATTTATTATAATAGCAGGAGAAAACTAATAACACCAGATGTAATTTTATCATTCTCTTTCTAATTAAATTTTACATGAATTGTATTGATGATTTCTTATTTTTCATTCTTATCATTGGATTATGATTAAAATATAAATCATCTTGATATCATTCTCAATTTTGTTTTCATTATAACCATTATATCCATAATCTTGTATAATGTGGGTTTAAAGCAAGACTAAAATATAGGTTATAGCCAGAGGAAGTATGAGGTCTATTTTTTTTAATCTGAATGAAAATATTTAAGAAAATTTCAGGACTTGATTGTAACAGCCAGTTCTAAAGGGTATACATCAAATGTTGAAAATATTTTAAAAGTAATGTTCTTACAACTTTTTCCATGCCTTCTCCTTTTTGTTCCAAATGCATACCCTTGAAAATCAGAGACTCAGACCTTTCAATTTTTGTTGTTGTTAATTATTTAAGGAAACTTTGAATCTCTTGTGAAAACATTTTCTTTTACACTTAAATACTTAGAACACTTAAACTTTCGAATTGCTATTTTGTTCAGTGCCAATTGTAACATTTGACTTTTTAGCAGTAGTGTTGAAAGCATTAACTTTTTTAACTGTCTCAGAAGTTTATAGGTACAAGGCATACTTGAATGAATTCTTAATGCAAAAAAGATAGTTTCATTTAAATACCGAAGAAGTATTAATATAGCATAGTGATTTTAAAAATGATAGGTGATTTGCTTTTAGCTTGTGTTTATTTACCTTGTTATTTTCGTTTTTACCCCTAAAGAGCTGGTGAAATAACGAGTGAGGCAATTATACCTATTGGAAATATTTATAGGAAGTTAGTATGGAATGATACTTGATTAACCAATAGTATATTGTGAGTACTTCTAATATTATTTTTCCGGCCTCTGAATTAGCATATAACTTTTAAAAATTATTTTATTTCATGAATAAAGAACTTCTGGAAGTTGTTCAGAACATTTTCTTGATGACATAAAAAAATAAAATATTTTCCCCATATACCTGTATAACCTGGCGGTTAGCAATTTAGAAGTGCCGACTTTACATTCCCTAATTAACTTCTATCAAAGAAAATGAAATGTTTAATGACCTATTGCTATATCTTATCCATCCTTTGCTGAGATTATTCCTTACTTCTTAACAAACTTTGTCTACTGAATATTGTTAACTTCAGTTTCTCTGTGACTGTAATGCCATAATACAATGAATAATTGAATAGATCATATATAAGCATTGATTTCTTTTTACTAAAAACATCTAAATCATATTCAGTAAACTGTTCAGATGTATTGTTGTATTGAAAATATATTTTATAAATGTAAGCTAAGACTAGTACATTTATTAGGCATAAATGAATATTGATGGCAGAAATTGTTTCATTATAGAAAATTTTAAATAATAAGAACTTAGTACAGATGTCGGCATCTACTAACACAGCCACTTTTTAATTTTTTATAGTTGTGATAGAGGAAAATAAATATTTTTCCTGTGTGTCCTATGTGAACTATGTGTTTCAGGGTAGAAATGCCCCAGATGATGAGAGAACATTCCTTATAGAAAAACCTCAGCTGTAAAGTATGGAAGGAATGACAGCATTAGCAAATTGCATTTTGAAATTCTATTGAACAATTGAATAAGTCACTAGCATCAATGAATGTTAAGGCCATTAAGAGAAAGAAACTTTATAATGGAAGGACCAGGCTTTCCTCAGCTAGGCTTAACATCAGTACGTGGAGACAGCTAGGCATTTTTTCTCCTGATATGATGCTTTATGTATTTCACAGCACCACCAATGACGTATTTTTACTAAGAAGTTGAATCTGACCCTAACAGAGCCCTTAGCTCTAACTACAATTTTCATTCTATACATGTATATATACATATATGTATAAATATAATAAAATATATATGAAATTTTATATATATATAAAACAAATTGAACTATAAAAGAAGAAGCAATCAGAAAAATTCAGAATGTGAGGTATTCTCAGGACAACCAATCCAATTTCTCTAAGTCAATGGTTTGCATAAGTGATTGGGTGGTTGGGAAGGGGGTTGTTCTTGACTAAAAGAGAATTCCAGAAACCAAAATACATGTGTGGACTTTGTTATGATCACAACTTTAATACATCAACCATAAAAAGCCATTTCTGAAGATAATTGGGAGAAATTTGAATAACATTTGATATTAAATAATACTAATGGGATCTTACCAATTTTGGTAGGTGTGTTAATTGTAATTATGTAACAAAATGTATTTTTGTCATACTATATAAATGTTTAAAGGAAAAATGGCATTATTTGAAGGATTTGCTTTAAGATAATAGAGAGCTAAAGAGAAAAGGAAAGAAAAAAGGATAGATGAAGCAAATATGTCAATGTTAACTAAAAACATTAAGTCTTTATCTGAATATATTTTAATGCATCAAAATTATGCATTTTCACATACGTAGTAAAGGCCCTTTTAATTTCATTCTTCATAATGCATTTTTTGCTCTCTGCTACAATGCCTTAGCCACTAATAATCTAGATTTAATTTTCATTATGAAGCATTATAGTCCATGTAATTTAAACCTAGTCGCTAAATTCTGTTTTACTTTTTATTATATATTTATTTTTTTAGAGTTGTGGTTTGGCTGCGTTGCTCAGGCTGGACTCAAACTCCTGGCCTCAAGTGATTCTCCCGCCTTAGCCTCCCAAGTAGCTGGGTGTACAGGAACATGCCACCACACCCAGCTGAAATTCTAACCTAGCCACATGAATGACTATTAAGTTCTGCTTGCTTGGTCTTAAATAATATTTGGTTACTTGGTGTCCACAAGTTAGTAGTGGAAATGGAGACAATGTGTGAAGCTGCATTTCTGGAAGGGCACTAAGTGCCTCTCACTACCCTTGTTTTCTAGAGGAAGCCTGCAAATGCCAGTAATTTCTACACCCAGGGCTGCCTGCCTAGGGGTCAAATTGTAGCTGTGTTTTCTGAAACATGCTTCTGAGATGCAGATTCCAAAATGTGGGGGTTCTACTTAGCCCTTGCTCACCAAACCCAGGATACAGAGAAGTTCTTGTTCAGGTTTGGCTGCTAAAGGAAAAAGTTCTAGCCCTAATATTGAGTTTTAGGACTTTCAGGATCTCTAGGTGACTTGTCTTTGGTTGCCAGAAAAATAGCCCAAACATTCTTCTCTTGGGGAAAAAGACATTAATTTGATTGATCTGTGAGGATGCAATGCAATAAGAAAACAAAATGTGCCTTCTCTCACCCCGTTAGGGTTCTTGTGCTTTCTAAAGAGAAATATCCCAGGCCTCAGCACTGTGTATCTCTGTCAGTACACCCTACCTGAAGGTTGACTACATCTTGGCTGCCCCGAGGCATACATATGACCAATGCCTCTGCCTGGGTAGCTCTAAAAGTTTTTTGAGTCTCAGTTTCTATAGCCTCTGTAGGGGGCAGCTTTGATTCACAGATCCGTTAAAAAGCCCACCTGCATTTAGTCTAGTGGCCAGCATTGGCTGGGGCCCTCATTAGTTGTGTTTGGGTTTCTACACAATGTCCCAGGGTAGCCAAGAGATTAAATGTCAGTAATGCACAGTAGTGTGGCTCAAAGTGGGAGAAGACTTTTTGTGCTAGAAGCCAGCCAGCTTCTCTGAGAGTAGTGCTTGAGTTCACAACCTCTTCAACTCCTGGAGACCACTGTGAATTTAGTTAGAATCAAGGCCTATATATTATATTTAAAATACCTTAACAATGAAGTAAATTTGATTCAACTCCTTTAACCTTTCCGGAAACTAGCATAAAATAACTCAACTCCCTTTAACAAGAATTTCTGTGGGAGAATTTTATATATACCATTTCTAATGAGAACTCCCCTTAAGTCTTTGAAATTGCTTTTCTTAATTTACTGGTGAATGTAACATTCAAAATGGTCTTACTCTCCAAGTATGTAGCACTGTATCACTTCTCAGCAGGTATTTTAATTCTTAAAAATAATGTTATCTGTGGGATTTTAATTTACAGAGGCTATCAGTTTTGACTATTAGACAAGACTGAGGAGCAGATCATCGATCTCTTTCTAGTATCTTGTGCCATAGTTTTTGTTAGACTCTCCAAAAGGCAACTTGGGGAGAAAGAGGAAAGGGATGGCTGCCCATTCACCATATTCTCCTTAAGTTACTTCCTTGGAGTCTAGAAGGCAGAGAGGGGTCTGATTTAGCCCTTTTTAGCTAAGCATTTTGGTTATTAACATCAGCAAGGATTATTCAAGAGGTTTAGGGAGATCAAGCTGTGTGTGCACCACAGGGATGAAAAAAGAGGAATAAGTATGGAAGCTGAGTGCATCGAATCTGAATTTCTCTGTTTTGTTCATAATCAATACTCATATGTTTTTCCTGCATTGCAACTATCAAGACTCTAAGTTATTACATACTTAGGCCTAAAATAACTTACATTAACAGAAGGGAGATGGCCAGCAAAGAGCCATAGGTTCATGATTCAATACTTCTCTCACATTGTTCTGCTAATTAGTCATCGATGGGAATATGTGATAGATGGAAAAGTAATGATGGTTCAGTACCCTGTCTGTTTTCTGTATTTCTAATAGAAACTGGTGGTATAGCATATAGCACCTCCAAATTCTTATGCATGCTAGTTTTTAAAACATCATGACCACAAATAGGCTTGATACCAAAAGTTAATAATAATCTTGGACAAAATACTAATATAGATAAAATGTAAAATAATGATTTGGACAAAGTACTGTTGCCTATTGGTATACAAATTAATCTGTGATGAGATCTCTAGGAATGTTAAAGTACATTAAGCTTTCATATGTTTTAAGTAGTAAAATGGACACAAACACTACAGCCCCCCACTGCCGCAGAAGTAATGCAAGAGAATGGGGTGTGGAGGAATCCCCAGAGGTTTTGGAAATACACAAAGATTCCAATTAAGAGTACTGGAATATTGTCTCAGAAATATGAGACTGAACCGTGATTGCAACTGAGAAATTTTAGGCATCATCAACTTAATTTATTCATTAGTGATTATTCAATATTTCATACTATGTGCCAGCCTCTGTGATAGGTAAAGAAGAAAACAACAAACAAAATAGCATGGTAAACACCTTTTTTTTTTTTTTTTTGAGATGGAGTCTCACTCTGTTGCCCAGGCTGGAGTGCAGTGGCATGATCTTGGCTTGCTGCAAGTTTCTCCTCCCAGGTTCATGCCATCCTGCTGCCCCAGCCTCCCTAGTAGCTGGGACTAAAGGCACCAGCCACCACACCTGGCTAATTTGTTTTTGTATTCTTAATAGAGACGGGGTTTCACCGTGTTAGCCAGGATGGTCTCGATCTCCTGACCTTGTGATCCGCCCACCTTGGCCTCCCAAAGTGCTGGGATTACAGGCGTGAGCCACCGCACCCGGCCGGTAACCACTCCTAACTGAGTATGTTATATTTTATGCAAAGGAAGAACTCTGTTCAAAGAATGGTGGTTCAGCATGGAATCTGGAGTTGGATGGCAAAAAAAACGTTTGTGTCTCCCAGCAGTATTCAGAGTGGGTACTATAACACATGCTCTTTCTGGTGGCCTTCCTAGATGCTTCTGTACACAAGATCTTCTGCCTGGATCCTTTGTACTGATTCACCTTTAGTGTTGTCTGAAACAAAAGAAATTACTTCATATTCCTTGTCCTTAAGAGAAATAAGCTTTATTTAGACTTAATAGAACCTTAAAGGAACCAAGGTGGTTGTGTCCTCTCTGAATTTTTTTTTCTACTTTTTTATGTTCTTCCTGGAGATGGGTCTAGCAATGACTAGGTATTTGCTAGTTGGACAATGTGGACCTTAATTTTCCAACAAGATGTCTCTGAAGGTATTTTTACTATTTTTAAAACAATTTCATCTTGTGGTTTTGAATTGGGAGCTGCCATTGAAATGGCTGCAGCTTCTCACGCATTACCTGATCTTGGTAAGCCCTAAAGTTGGCAATTTTCTTTCATTGCCAACCAGGGAAGGAGGTGGTGGTCAATGTATCAGAAATTCCACTTACGGCAGCATGGAAATTCAGAGAGTCTATTACTGAATGAAGTTTCAACTTTGGTTAGGATCACAGAAGACGAGATAATATGGAAAACAACAAATGCAAATTTAGAAAACAAAAATAGCCCTTCCTCTATCTGGGCTACATCAAAGAGTGCCTAGGGAAAGACGTATGATGAGCCAAGTTTATGTATAATGAAGCACTTTAATTCAGACAGCTGACCTCCTCATCTCTCCTGCAAAAATCAGAGTTCATTTCTCTGCCTCTGATACCTACCTAACAGTGATAGGTTAGTGCTTTTGTGTAATAAATTTTGAAATTCAGTTTCTCTGACTGTTGTACCATAGCACTTAAACTTACCAGTCTACTTGACACATGCATATCGTTATGATCTCTCAGACTACTAATTATAATTTTGTTTTTGTTGACCATTAAGATTGTTCATCTATTTCTGTTAGAACCATGGCCATTGAAGTAACTTCCTGATTTTAAATTTGCTTCCTTCATAGAATTTCCTGTTTTGAAGAAACAAGGTGATTTATTAGCTGATGCAAATTTACTAGTTTACTTGACAGTTATAACTCCCGTGTCAAATTAGGTATCTGGCTTACATTAGTCTCTTGGGGGTTGGTTAGCAGAAATTAGTATCTCCTGAGCCTGCGACAGGAGGCTGAGACAACCCGCGTAAGTGACCAGCCAGCTGCTTCAGATATTAATTGTCCTCCTAATTGTAACTTGACTTTATCATGATCCATGTTACCTCTTATATGCTGTAAAACTCTAGTAAGCAAAACTTTCTTTTTAGATACCAATTCTCAAGTGGTTTTTAGACATTCACATAGCTTGGCCTCTCTTCTCCATTTCTAGGTGCTGCTTTAGTGCAGTGACTTTTTCAATTATGTGGAATACTTTGAAAAAAATGTATGTCACCAAAAAATGCAAAATAATCAATTTAGTAATTTCGAGCTATTCTTTAAATAATACCTGCCTATACTTGTCTCTCTTATTGATCCTCTTGACTTCCACAAATTACCGCACACTTTTGACTTGATGTTTTCAACATCCATCCCATAGAATATGAGATCTGTGAGTACAGAAAGCTCCTCTGTCTTGTTCACTGTGAATCTCTCATACCAGAAGAGGTCCCACATTATAATCTGTCAGTGAATAAATGCTGAACCAATAGGGTTTACATCCTATTATTATTCTTGTAGAAATAGTATAACTTACATATTCTTACAGAAATAGTATAACTTACATTCTTAACATTTAACAAGCTTTCATGGATATAATTTTTTTCACTTAAAGTTTAAATCACTTTACAAAACACATATATTTGGCTTTTTAAAAATCCCACAGTTTGAAATTCAATGCATTAAGTAGTGAATAAGTATGAGACTTAAGCTATTATAACAATTCAATAACTCAGTAAAATTTTTCTGCAGAAGGGATTACTGTCTTTTCAAAGACATAATTCACCTATTACTTTTTATTGTATAAATTTTGATTTCTACAGTATTTCTTGGAACAGGATTATGTGTGTGTGTGATTAATCCATCTTACTTACCTCTCCATTTTAGGAAAGACAAAAATTAGTTTCAACAGTGCTCAAGTAGTTTGTCATTCTGCTTGAAAAAAAATGAACATTTTACATTTGCCAAAAGTAAAAATATTCTAACACAAAATGCTTTAATATGTTTAAAATATAGATATCATTCAGCTTGAATCAAAATTATTAAACTGTAATAAAAATAACTGTAATATGCTTTTCAGAAAAGACCCACATTTTATGTAATGATTATTTTACTAAGCAAGACTTTTAAAACATTATAAGGATAGTTTTATCGTTTAAAAATAGAATTAATATAGATTAAACACCAGATTTTCTATAAGTTTTAAATGTTCATAAAATAAAGGTAGTAAATTAAACTTAGAATTCTGAATGCCAGTTGATAAAAACATTTCAGCAATAGTGTTTTTTTCAGGCTTTTAAAAAAATTATTTTCTGGAAAATATGTAAGAGCAACGTATATACATATATATCCAAATACAATTGTCCACATTCATAAATAGGACTTACAGATAATATAGCCGATTTCTTTCTCTATTTAAAGGAATTTTTTGTTGTATTCAGATAAACACAATATTACCCAGCTCTGGTAACTTTGGGAAACTTTCACTTTCTGTTCTCACCAAATGGTTTAGGTTAATGTTGAGGACTAAACTCTGATTTTTTTTTTCTTGCCCAAATTCCTATCTAAGGGGTCTGGGGAGTCATGCCCTATAAATCAGAAATTCTCATCAGATGGGTTTTATTTAACCATATATATCATGATTTACTTTCCAGACTGACTCTGGCCATAACATTATGAGACAAAAAGGAAAATCAAAATATTTTACCCCAAAACATGTTTCTTTGCCATATTTTGAAATGGCCCTGCAAAGCTGTTCTTTCTGAGAGAAAATCTGCTTCTGTAAAGAATCTCTATTAACATAGCTAAATCTTCTTCTTCCAGACCCTTCCAATCCTAAAGAGATTAACTAAGATCTGAATAGGAAACTTTTGTCACCTATTGTCTCTAAGGGCAGCCACTATAAGACTTCAAAAGAACTTTGGTCTCCACAATCTGTATCTTATTTTACCTTAATCTTTATCTTAACCGTTTTTGTCTATCCAGATCTTTAGACAAACTCAACCAATTGTCAACCAGAAAATATTTAAATTCACCTATAGCCTGGAAGCCTCCCGACTTTGAGTTGTTCCACCTTTCTGGGCCAAACCAATGCATTTCTTAAATGTATTTGAGTGATGTCTCATGCCTCTCTAACGTCTATAAAACCAAGCTGTGCCCCGACCACCTTGGGCACGTGTTCTCAGGACGGACTTCCTGAGGGCTATGTCATGGGCCATGGTCACTTATATTTGGCTCAGAATAAATCTCTTCAGATATTTTACAGATTTCGACTCTTTTCATCAACAATGTCTTTGTCAATGCACTGTCAGAATTAATGATAGGAATGTTTGTGAGAGTAAATAAACATATGATGGCTCATCATGATAAGCTAGCAGTTTTGAGGATCCAGGTAAAATAGATGGGACTAACAGGAGTTTAAAAGCAGAGTTTTTATGTAAGAGAAAATATAGGGACTTGGGAAGTGTATGGAGTCAGAGAAATGCAACTTGGTATAGTATGATACATAATTATTTAATAACACTAGAATTTTCAAGACACATTTTCATGCATCTAAAATGTCTGTTTAAAATACAGGTTTTATTATTATTAAGGTATGGTGAGGCCAACAGATCATGAGACATTCACCATTGAAAAGATGACTTGTTGCTTACAGTTCCTAGGAGGAAGGGTTTTCTCCTGGGCAAAGGCCTTTATCATGGTTTCTACAGGAAAGGCAAAGCAAGACTGAGTAAGCAGGCTTAGGATTGGCTAGTTTGAATAATTTCAGCAGGCCCTGGGGTGATGGAGACTGTGGGATGGTGGCCTGGAGTGTGAGAGCTCAGTGAGAGCCCGATAAAGGAGGCTGTTAGGAGGGTTGTGGCCTTTTAGTGGCTTGGTTTGCATATACAAAGTACACAGTCAGGTGAGTTATCTCCTATCTCCAGGAAGTGGTTAGCCCTAGGAGGGGCAGCCTCTGTAGAGTCAACAAGACTCCAGACACTGAAGCATCAGAACAAAAAGACATGCTTGACACAGTCTTTTGCCAATCATTAAGGTGTATAAGGTGTATATAATAGTTATAGTTATCCTCTTTAACTGCACATATTATGCATTCCCATTGTTATAAATAAAGTTTCAGTGCCACAAAAGAAATAGCACTTGAATATAAAACTTTCTTTTAATTATCAGCAAGGCAAGGTACTTCTGTAGAAGGGTGCACACTCACCGATGGTGGGTGCACATTTGGACAAGGGAGAGGAAGGGATTCTTATCCCTGATGCACGTGGCCCCTGCTACTGTGTCATTCCCCTATTGGCTAGGGTTAGATCTCACAGGCTAAACAAATTCCAATTGGCTAATTTAAAGATGATGGGATGAGTGCTTTGGCGGAGTCAGGGCAGAGCAGATAGCAGGTAATTGGAATGAGTTAGGGTGGAGCAGGTGATCAGAATGAGTTAGAGTAGAGCAGGTGATAGGAAAGAGTCAGGGTGGAGTAGGTAATCGAAAAAGGTTGCTTTATGAGGAAGTTAAGTTTAAAAGTAGAAGGCAAAGAATTGATCATACTGACATATTAATTCTTTGAAGAGCATTTAGAATTCATATTCAATACCATAGCTACAGACTACTCAAACGCTAGTGACTTAAATTTATATCTAGCTCTTCTGGGATATCTGTCTCTTTTCTATCTCATATTCTTTTTTTTTTTTTTTTTTTTTTTTTTTGAGACGGAGTCTCGCTCTGTCGCCCAGGCCAGACTGCGGACTGCAGTGGCGCAATCTCGGCTCACTACAAGCTCCGCTTCCCGGGTTCACGCCATTCTCCTGCCTCAGCCTCCCGAGTAGCTGGGACTACAGGCGCCCGCCACCACGCCCGGCTAATTTTTTGTATTTTTAGTAGAGACGGGGTTTCACCTTGTTAGCCAGGATGGTCTCGATCTCCTGACCTCATGATCCACCCGCCTCGGCCTCCCAAAGTGCTGGGATTACAGGCGTGAGCCACCGCGCCTGGCCTCTATCTCATATTCTTGAAGTTAGCAGAGTGAATCCCACCTCCATGCTCTTCTTCCTGTTCTTCCCATCTCAGCATTTCTGAATCAGCTGGTTCCTGTCCAAAAGAGACCCTAGATTCCTTTCTTTGTCACATATCTCACATTTAACATATCAGCAAGTCCTATTGGTTCTACCTTCAAAATGTATCTCAAGCTCTTCCCATTATCCTCACTATCTTCCCACCAGCTCTTCGCACTATCCTAGACCAACTCACTGTCAAAGTATGTTAACTATTCCCATTTTTAGCTCTCCTAGATTATTTCACATAATAGGCAGTATACATTTCTTTAAACAACATATATCTGACAAGTTAACTTCCTTGCTTAAAACCTTTTCTTGGCTTCCTGTTATATGTAAATATCTAAAGTCTTTGCACCAGTTATATTAGACTCTAGATGATCTGACAGTTGCCTAATTTTCCTTCTGTCTCACAGCATTTGGTTCTTGCTCACAACCCTCTGGCCACCCTAGCCTCCTTTCAGTTCTTCATACCCAGAGTGTGTTCCAATTTTAACTATGATTTCTTTTCCCTCTACTTAGATTGTTCTGTGGCACGTTCTATAGGTATGGCTCCTCATCCTCCCCATCTCAGCTTAAATATAATTTTATGTTGAGTAGTAAATGTCAATTATGTTGGGTACATTAATATGTTATCCATTTATTTTATAAATATTGAGTATTTATTCTGATACAAGTTACTTATTTCCAAGATACAATGGGGGTATAAACATTCCCATTTCAAAAGGGAGAAATCAGCCAAAAGAGAGGGCTACAGGCCCCACACAAGTTCAAATTCTAGCAGGTCAGTCATTACATCTTAAATCTCAGAAGTCAAAGTGATTATGGTAATGAAGGGTCTTGAAGAGTCTTAATTCCAGTATCTGAATTTAATTCCAGCACTTTTTCCAACATAGCCTAAGAAAGATATATAACCATTTCACTACATCTGTTTTAAAAGAAATCACAGTTCATATGTTAAGTTTTATTTGATTTTGTTAAGGCATATATAGACAGGCTAAATTTTGTGGATTTGGTGTTTCTCCACAATGCTAAAATATAGTATTAACTTAGGTTTTATAATGAAGTTAGCAAGAAGAAAGAGAAGGAGAAAAACTATTGAATTTGGTTGAAACTCTAATTTCCTTCCTGAAATGTATACTTATATAGCAAAAAAGGTGTGTAGCAAGAACAAATTTTGCCTATATATTTAAAACAACATTTTAGGAAATCATATAAAGAAACATTCAGACATTTAGCAGCCAATTCTTGGTTACTGTAAAATTATTAATGTGGGTAAAAAAAGAATTATATGTACCCATTTTCTCTTCATTTAGAAAAAGGTTTTTTAAATTTTCTACTTAATTTATTTTACAATTCATATCAAATTTTTATTGTGATAAGTTTATCCGCAGGTGTAGTGGCTCACACCTATGATCTCACCATGTTGGGACACTGAGGCAGGAAAACAGCTTGAGGCCAGGCGTTTGAGATCAGCCTGGACAACACAAACCCTATCTCTATAAAAAATTTGTTTTAAAAAATTAGCTAGATGTATTACGCTATTCTCACATTGCTATAAAGAAATACCCAAGACCGGGCAATTTATACAGAGAAGAGGCTTAATTGGCTTATGGTTCTGCTGGCTGTACAGGAAGCATGATACTAGCATCTGCTCAGCTTCTAAGGAGGCCTCAGGAAACGTACAACTTACCATTGCTCATGACCCTCTGGCAACCCAAATAAGCAGTGACCAGAGGTGTACCTCTGCCCTTTTGAGCCAGGGCTGGTGCTGGAACAGCAGCATGAATGGGACAGTGTCCCAAAGATGTGCAGAGCAGTGGGCCCTGGGCCTGACCCAGGAAACCATGCTGTCCTCTTAGGCCTCAAGGCCTATGATGAGGGGGCTGCCTCTTAGATCTCTGAAATGACTTCAAGGCCTTTTTCCCATTGTCTTGCCTATTAGCAGTTGCCTTTTTTTAGTTATGCAAATTTCTCCAGCAAGTGGTGGCTGCATATCCTGCTTGAATTCCTCTCCCTAGAAAGCTGTTTCTTTCTCTACCACATGGCCAGGCTGCAAATTTTTTAAACGTCTACACTCTGCTTCTCTTTTAAATATAAGTTCCAACTTTAACTCATTTCTTTACTCCTGCAGATGAGTAGAGTGTGTTAGAAACACCCACACCACATCTTAAACACTTTGCTGCTTAGAAATTTCTTCTACCAGATACCCTAGGTCATTGTTCTTAGGTTCAAACTTCCACAGATTCCTGGGGCATGAACACGATGCAGCCAGGGTCTTTGCTAAGGCATAACACATGTGACCTTTGCTCCAGTTCCCAATAAGTTCCTCATTTCCATGTGAGATCTCATCAGCCTGGCCTACATTATCTATATCACTATCAGCATTTTGGTCATAACCATTTAAGCAGTCTCTAAAAAGTTCCAAACTTTCCCTGATCTTCCTAGCTTCTGAGCTCTTGGCACTCTTCCAACCTCTGCCTGTTCCACAGTTCCAAAGCTGCTTTCACATTTTCTAATATCTTCGTGGTAATGCCCCATTTCTTGGAACCAATTTTCTGCATTAGGCCATTCTCACATTCCTATAAAGAAATACCAGAGACTGGGTAATTCATAAAGAAAAGAGGTTTAATTGGCATACCATTCCACAGGCTATACAGGAAGCATAATGCTGGCATCTGCTTGGCTTCTGGGGAGGCCTCAGGAAACTTAGAATCATGGCAAAAGACAGAGGGGGAGTAGGCATATCACATGGTGAATGTACGTGCAAGAGAGATGGAGGTAGGTGCCACAGTTTTAAATGATCATGTCTCATGAAACTTACTATCACAAAACCTACTATCACAAAGACAGCACCAAAGGCTATGGTGCTAAACCATACATGAGGTATCTGCTCCCATAATCCAGTCACCTCCCACCAGGCCCCACCTTCAACATTGGCTATTATATTTCAACATGAGATTTGGGTAGGGACACACATGCAAACTATATAAACAGGCATGGTGGCACACACCTGTAATCCTAACTACTGGGGTGGCAGAGGCTGGAGGATTGCTTTAGCTCAGGAGTTCAAGGCTGCAGTGAGCTATGATCGCACCACTGCACTGCAGCCTGAGAGACAGACTAAGACATTATCTCTAAAAACAAACAAATAAATAAGGAGTTTCTCAAAGTAATAGTGTAATTTTTGGTAACTAGCAAATGACTTTTGTTATTTCCTTGATGTAGATTTCCTTGCTTGGTGTTGATAAATGAAACACTGCCAATAAAATTAAAATATGCTAATTTTAAAGTAGGTTACAAAATAAAGTAAGTTCTCACTATTCTAAAGGTAACTTTTTATTAAAAAACTTTTTATGAAAGTGATATATGTATGCATATATATACACACACACATATTATAGAAAAATGAGCAGGCATAGTAAAGATTGCCTGTGATTTTGTTACCATTTGGGTATTTTCATATCTTTTTTTACCCTACATTTTTTGCCCCTTATATATGAATTTATATTTTATATACTATTTAAAACTCAGATCATACCATACATTCCACTTTGAAACTTATTTTTTAGCCTTACTGCATATTATGAACAACATTCAAAGTAATTGAATATTAGAAAAAACTATACTAAAAGTCACATGGAACTGAAAAAGACACTGAATAGCATAAGCAATCCTAAGCAAAAAGAAGAAAGCCAGAAGCATCATACTACCCAACTTCGAAGTATATTACAAGGCTGCAGTAACCAAAACAGTATGGTACTGGTAGGAAAACAGACACATAGACCAATGGAGCAGGTTAGAGATCCCAGATACAAAGCCATACACCTATAACCATCTGATCTTTGATAAAGTTGACAAAAACAAGCAGTGAGGAAAAGATTCCCATTCAGTAAACGGTGCTAGCTATATGCAGAAGACTAAAACTGGACCCCTTCCCTTCACCATATACAAAAATCAACTCAGGATGGATTAATGACTTAAATGTGAAATCTAAAACTATAAAAAAACACTGGAAAGAAACAGAGGAATTACCATTCTGGACATTAGACTTGGCAAATAAATTATGACTAAGTCCCTAAAAGCAATGGTAACAAAAATGAAAATTGGCAAATGGAACCTAATTAAACTAAAGAGCTTCTGCATAGCAAATGAAACTGTCAGCAGAGTAAACAGACAACCTGCAGGAGGTAAGAAAATATCTGTAAACTAGCATTCAACAGAGGTCTAATATCCAGAATCTATAAGGAACTTAAACAAATTAACAAGCAAAAAAGAATAGTATTAAAAATTGGGCAAAGGACATAAACAGACACCTCTCAAAACAAGACATACACGTGGCCTAACAAGCATATGAAAAAATGCTCAACATTAATCATTACAGAAATACAAATAAAAATCATAATGAGATACCATCTCATACCAGTCAGAATGGCTATTATTAAAAAGTAAAAAAAAAAATCAGATGATGGTGAGGTTGTGGAGAACAGGGAACATTTACATACCACTAGTGGTAATATGAATTAGTTCAGCCACTGTGGAAAGCAGTTTGGAGATTCCTTGGAAAACTTAAAATAGAACTACCATTTGACTCAGCAATCGGATTACAGGGGATATACCCAAAGGAATAGAAATAATTCTACTATTAAAGACAAAGGCACATATGTGTTCATCACAGCACTGTTTACAATAACATATACATGGAATCAATCTAAATCATCATCAATAGTGGACAGAATAAGGCAAATGTGGTACCTATACAACATGGAATATTATACAGCCATAAACAAGAGTGAGATCATGTTCTTTGCAGCAACATGTATGGAGCTGGAGGCCATTATCCTAAGCAAACTAATGCAGGAACAGAAAACAAAACACTGCATGTTCTCACTTATAAGTGGGAACTAAACCCTGAGTACACATGGACACAAAGAACAGAACAATAGATTCCAGGGCCTACTTGAGGGTGGGAAGAGGGTGGGAACAGAAAACTTACCTATTGGGTACCATGCTTATTACCTGGGTGGTGAAATAATCTGAATATCAAACCCCTACAACATGAGATTTACCCATATAACACATCTGTGCATTTTCCCTCTGAATCCAAAATCAAAGCTGGAAAAAAGAAAAAATAAATATTTGTTTGAGGGAAAAATGTCATTCAATCTTTTTCTCGAACATAATTCTTAATGGTGCTATAATAATTTGGATGCATCGTGTTTAGTTGTAGTTTTTTATTGGGTACTTTATTCTAATACAGTATAATATGCTTCAAAATGACTTTACTTTTTATAACACTGACAGATATTTTTTCCATGTAATGATTTAGCTTTAAATATAATGTTTCTAATATTTCAACATTACTGTACATATTACTAACATTTGCCTTGCTTATCTTTTTCATTCCTTTATTTTTTCCCTTTTTGTATTTTGATTTAGGCATGTCTCTTTTTAACAGGATCTACTTAGATTTTTTCCTACTCACCTAAGTGGAAAATCTCTGATAGTTAAGAGGAAAAATTTAATTCATTTTCAGTATTTTTTGTTTCTATTAATTTTAGATGGGTGGGTGCGTGCACATGGAGATTTAGGTACATGAGCTACTTCTGCCATTTTAGTTCAATTTCCTCTTGATATTTTTTTTCCTAGGATAAGCACTGAGCATTAAAAACAACATTTCTTTGATTGAAATACTCTAAAGTACGGTAGCAAAATATATCTTATATGTCCTCACTAAACCTTGCCATTCACATCTCATATTTTATTTATATGAATTAGCCGTTAATAGCTAGTCTAGCTCTAAGGAATTTAGAAACCTACTTATTTTATTAACTTCATTTTTTTTTTGTTTGTTTGTTTGAATGACGGACTTTAGCATTTTTGTTTTGAAATAAGTTCAAATTTTATTTTTTGGTGGAGGGACACTTAGCTAAAATTCTATTTAGTCTACAACCCACCACAGTCTGGATTGAACTCCCATCTCAAGTGAAATTGCCCTGACTGGCATGAAAAGTGACTTCTAGTTAATCAATCCATTGATTATTTTATCCTGCTATTCTACCTAGTCTCTCTGATGCACTTGGCAACTGTAAGAAGAAATTCTCAGAAGATGGTGGAATACCATCAGAGAAAGGCATTCTCCTGGGCCTTCTTCCTTGGTGGCATCTGCCATTCCATGGAAAGCAGCTTCATTCAGTGTTCAGTCTTTGGCTCTGTTCTCTTCTGACTTACTAATTTCTCCTTGGGATAGCTCATTTAAAAGTTGTTTCCCAATTTTTCACATACAAGAACTTGATGCATTTTATTAAAGTCAAATCCTTAAGTTTAAATCTGTGTAGGTTGTACTCTGTTAATAAAATTAGGCTATACCAAACTATCAAATTTTAAATTGCAATAATTCTACTGGTTCAAAATAATCTTTTCATTTGTTGGAATAACCTACTATTTTGTTGAAACTGCTGTCAAAGCAATAGTAAACTTATTCTAAAATGGTTTAATATTTGTGGTATTTGGCAGTATATTCAGTAAGTCTTTAATTGTATCTGATAGAAGTACAAGTTCCATCTGTCTCACACGTGCATCCTACTCAAAGCATGGCACCAGAGCAAGTCTGTTTCCGATGCTCATAAATAAGATACCAACAAACCCACAATATTGGTACAGACTGTTCTGGGCTAGGTTCTAAAATGTTAACCACAGGAAGTGATTTTACTTCTTTTTATAAAACCCCTTTTCCCTTCATCAGCTGCCTACGTGCTCAGTGTGGCACTTTAGATTTCCTGGATCTTGAAAGTGTTAAAAATTACTGGAATAACCTGCTGGAAGGTGATCTTATTTACTTAAACAAAACGTGGATAAGTAACTGCTAAAATCATAGCTATCTAAGTCTGTCTAAAATTGTTCTGATTGTTTAATTGAAAGTGGGGGTTTTAATAAGGCCTACTAAAGTTTAAAATGTGTGGTCATAGATAATACAGATCAAGGCATTAATGATCAGCATTTCTAGTAGTTTACAAGGTAACTTGAGTACTCATAACTCTAGCTTACCTTATCCTTGCTTTTGGTCCTTTGTCTTTATAATATGAGATTACTTACTGAGTTTGAAATTATTTTAAATGATTGGAAACAAAAATATCAAAAATGGAATTGGTATACTATGCTTAATGGTAGACTTAATTTTTTTCAGTAGTTGTTTACTTCTGTAATTAAAGTATATTGTCTATTAGCTGAAATTTATATAAATACATGTAATTCTATATAAACATATAAATATGTAATTTCATATAACTATATAATTATATAAATTATAAATATTCATATTTATAATGAAAAGATTTATAATTATACATTTTTATTTATAATGTTTATATAAATATATGTACATATAAATATATAAATTTTCATATGTAAATATGTTAAGTATAAATATATAATTTATATAGAAATATCTATAAATTGCAATGAATTTATTAAAATTAGTTAAAAATTAGAAGATATTTTTTCATGTAATTTTGGATAAGCTTCTAAGAATTTGCTCAACAGTTTGAATTTGTCTCAACATTTGTAAACACAGAAAAAAGTTTCTACAGTATTCAAAGATGTCACCATTTTTGATAGAAAATTTGTCACCTTTACTTTTTCTTGTAAACATTATAATAGGGAAAACAAAGCATACAAAGTATAGTACTTTTGAAAAGTCTCTTTTCTTTTATTCTTCAGGATGTATTTTAATTAGTCTGATCATTTTGCTAAGGCTCTATTTATGTTTCTTGTTTCTGCTCAATTCTACCCAACTGCCCAATATTTTAGCTTATGGTAAATAATTTGAAATTCTTTCTTGTTTTGGGTTGTCTATTATTAATTATTCTTAGTTACGGATGATTACTTTTATAAAATGTTGTAATGTAATTCCCTTCCTACTATTTTTATATTATGAAATGCTTAGTGCTGGATAAATGAGTCATATTTGTGCAGTGTTGGCAAACCACAATTATATTCAAGACCACTGTGGATCAGAATCTAATTTTATCAGAATTTAAAAATTGTTTTGAGATTTTGCAGGTATCAGTTTAGCAGATGATTTCTTAAATAAAGGGGAAAATCAAGTATTATGCTTTGTCCTTTGATGATATGAGATAAAAATCACCAATGGCAATGATTTTTATCTTGTATTGAAAATCAAAGCTGTAGGCAGGGCCACCTTGCCCATCAGTTTACATTAATGCCATGAAGAGCAAGTCAATTTTAAAGTTATTGACTTGAGTTTTGCACCACATACCAACTTATTTAGTGAGTTCAAGTTGCAGATTTCCTTTACTCAGGTGGTTCTTTTCTCTTTTCTAGATAGAAACAGGCAAATAAGAAATGGTAAGTAAGAGTTATTCTGGAAAAAAACAAATCTATTGCTGTTTTTTTCTTCCTCTTATCTGATTTCTGTATAGCATTTGTCACTTAAGACCAATATCTCCTTGATATTATCACAGCTCCTGCCTACCATGTGAACACCTCTTTCTTGGTTTTCTGTCTGCTTCCGTGGATTCTTTTTTTGGCTATTTCCCCTGGATCTGCTTCTGCCTAAACTCACTGTGATGGTATTCTACTGGTATTTCTCGTCCACTTCTTTGTCTTTCACTTGACAAGTTATTCTTGGTTTATCTCATTTATTACTATGGCTTCAACTATTGATAACTTCCCATTTTATGTGAAATCAAACTCTTTCTTATCTCAGGACTCTGGTTTACCCATGAACATAATTGCAAGCTGTGATAGCTGTTAGAATAAAACTCCAGGAGAACTATGAAAATAAGAAACTAAAAGGATGAGTCTGAGTAAGTTGGTGAGACATGGTTAGATAAGACTTCCCTAAGGAGCTGATACTTGAGGTGGAAATTGAAGGCAGTGGTGGAAATAATGTTATCGAGAGGCAGAAGAGCAAGCAAGGTTCCTGCAGTCTGCCTAAACTGAACTTGTCAAACATCATTCTAATAAAACCAATACTTGATTAAAATCTTTCAGTGCTATCTCATCATCTAAAAATAAACTTAAAACACTTTCACCTAGGATTCAAAGTCTTTCACCTGGCCTTAATTTAATTTTTATCTGATTTTTAGCACTCCCTCTGATCTGGTGTTTGGCACCTATTTTGGTACATATATTATAAGTGCATATTCAAGACTCTGATTTGTTGTCTTCTATTCTCTTTGCCTGGATTGTCTTCCTCCTCTATTTTTTTACTGGTGAGCATCTCTTACCCAATATCCAAAGCCCAATAAAATATTGTTTTTCTTTTGCAAGTTTCCCACATACTGAATTTTCATAGAACTTTTTATGAGGCTGTATAATGTTCTTATTCTCAGGAGAGGCAGTGTTGTATTGATGCTAAGAATAATGGCTGCGGGCACAGATCAACTGGAATCAGAATCCTGATTCCTCCATATATAACCTGTGTGATCCTGTACAAGTTAATGCTAGTACCTCCATCATAGGGTTGTTGTAAGGGTCAAAAGGCCTAGAACGGTGGCTAATATATATTAAGCAGTCAGTTGTATTAACAGTTGTTGCAGTCACATTTTAAATTATATATCTTCCACCATTTTCAGGCTATCAGCCCCTTGAGAGCAGAGGTTACCTTACTCACCTTTGTGCTTGCCACCAAGTAAATGAAATAATTTATATTTGTAAGATTGAGTTAAAAGGGATGCCAAAACATTAATGTTCAGTCTTTAGTTAGTTGATGGGGTGGCATTTCCTATTATGCATCAAAACCATTCATTTATCCAGCATGTAATTTATTGAGCATCTATTCTGTGCCAGACACAATTGTAGGAGGTAGAGATGAATTTATGAGCAAAGAAACATGATTCATTCCTTTGTGAATTTTATAGGATGGTACTTTAATTAAATAATCAAGCAAATAGATGTATAATCCAAACTGTGTCTAGTGCTTAAAAGGGTGGTATATGGCATGTCTCATGCTTATTATGGGGAGGAGATCGGCTTGGTTTGGGAGGTTATGAATGGCTTTCCTGAGGGAGTGACCAGTGTTCTGAGCGGAGATGTCTAAGTGGATATGAAGTTGGTGGTAGAGAGAGCCTGGTAAGCATGAGGGAAAGATGCCAGTGTGGATATATTCTGGCTCCAGGAAAGGCTGAGAGGTGCTTGCTGGTGCTCATACCTATGGAAAGCCTTAAAAGTACACAAATAAGAGAGCTGCCATGTGGTGAAGAGGCTTTCTTGCCTGGGATTTTTCTTCAATTTTATTGTTTACTTCTTTTTAACTTCTGTACTTTACTTACTTTTAATTTTTACTGAAATTTTGCTTAAAATCTCACATATATATATATATATATATATATATATATATATATATATATATTTTCCTTTGAAAGAATGCAATGAATTCTTTTTAAAAATTTCCTCGGGAGAAAAAAAATGAAGCTTCCCTTTTAAAATGTGTGCAGTACTGGAGAGGCAACACGTTATACTATTTTAGTTTGTTTATTAAGATCTTGGTTCTAGGATTTGGGGTTTTCTCAGGTTTCAAGAATGGGGGATTAAAAAAAACACTGTAGAAGTGAGCGATTATGTGGCATTTGTAGTGAGGTTAAGGGTATATGGGTTGAGAAGATGGTAGCATGTGGTTACCAAGGCCTAAGAGGACCCAGAGTGAAGTGGAAGATGAGGAAGGAAAATATATTATATATATTTTATATATTTAATAAAAACAGGTAGAGTATATATTCATCCCCCTATTTTATATGTATCATATATATGATATATATATTAATTGATAAATGATATAAATTGTAAAACAGGTAGAGTATATGTTCATCCCCCATTTTATATATATCATTTATATATTGATATATAAAATCATTTTATATATCATTTATATGTCAATAAATCATTTATATATCATTTATATATTGGTATATATCTATATATGACAGATATAACAGATATCTATATAAAAAGATGGCTGGATGTGGGAAATCTTATATATTGATATATATATAAATGATACATATAAAATAGGGGGGATGAACATACACTTTACCTGTGTTACAAATCTTCTGGGGCAGCAATAGATTAGGTACTGATTTACTTGATACTCCTTAAGGAATATTGAACTGTACACTAAATTGTTTGTGTAGTGACCAAAATTAAATCCAGTTCTTTTCTGAAAAAGGAACTAACTTGGTACATTTTAAAGTACTGTTCTTTTTTTCCATTAATTTACTTGTGTAGGTGCTAATTGATATAGGAAATGGTGTCTTATTATTACAAGACAATGGCATAAAATTTTATCCCCTTCTCTCATGCCAGTTGTATTTGTTTTGACATAACAACTGAAAAAAGGACTATTGTAGAAAATTATAGATGCTCTTCTATAAAATGTAAACATTGTTATGAATAGCAATCAAAATAGGTTCAACCACCCTGTATTTTTTCAGGCAAGACACTTGAATACTAAGCAATACTGGAAAGGTACCCACCAAAGAACTAGCCTGTATAGTTGTATGTGTGAACTTAAAATAGCTCCTCTCTAATAGGAAATGTTGGAAGAGACTTTATGCAAAGGGTTGATGTATATAGTATATAATGAAGAATTTTTTTAATTGCCTCATAAAGAAATCTCATGAGCCCTCCCTTTGTGTTCTTAATAAAAAATGCTTAGCTAAACAGAGCGGAGTGGTGTGCACCTGTAGACCCACCTACTTGGGTGGCCGAGGCAGGAGGATTTCTTGAGGTCAGGAGCTGGAGGCTGCAGTGCTCTATGATTATGGCTATAAATAGCAATTACGCTGTAGTCTGGGCAACACAGAGAGACTCTGTTTCTAATGTGTACACACACACACGTGTGTGCGTGTAAATATATATAAATATATATATAAAAATAATAACTGGCAATTTATGTTCCCAGATTAATTTGAACGTGCTTATTTTGTCCCTTTTTTTCTGGATTAGTGTGGGAGATGACATTTTGATGTAAGTGATAAAAATGATATTTTAATGACTTCCAACTTTAAATGTAAAACATGGTCACTCATAAATCTCCAGACTGAGTTATGTTGGTTAGGTATATCTTAGTATTGGTTCTCATTTTAAAAAGTTTTGGTTATAGTAAATCCAGGACTATTTGAAACAGATATCTATATAAAAAGATGGCTGGATGTGGGAAATCTTATATTTTATATTCATATGGTTGTTATTACTGGAAGCAGTAGGAGTTGCGTGCATGCAAAGATTATAATTAGTTGAGATAGTGCATTTGTCAGGGGGAATCTAATTGAAGTTAGACTAGCTACATGAAAGTCTGTGGTTTATTATTTCTAAGAAATGCTTTGAGTGAAATTTGTGCTACCAACCTTGCTTTAATTTCTACTCATGATTTTTCAGAAAAAGAAAATTTGGGGAATAAACTTTAATTTTTCTGTCATTTTAATTAGTTGTCCATATGTTGACTGATATGTTGATGTAAAGTATGCAAGAAGCCCTTAACTGAATTCTGAAGTAGAAAAAATTTGTCTTTGTGCTCCTATTTTTCCTTTATTATCCTTCAAAACATCTCAGCTCCTAATCTCAGATAGCTAATTCTTTATCCCACTCTCATAAACTTCAACTCTGAATGATCTGAAAAGCAAATTGATGGCAATGGGATA
This sequence comes from Homo sapiens, assembly GCF_000001405.40. Classification (NCBI taxonomy): domain Eukaryota; kingdom Metazoa; phylum Chordata; class Mammalia; order Primates; family Hominidae; genus Homo; species Homo sapiens. The sequence continues at coordinate 80,506,794 of NC_000004.12, forward strand.
AGAGAATAACAGAGAGATAGGTGTGAGTTATTGTCAGTGTTCTAGTTGTAAGGTTAGTTAAGTTTATGGAGATTCAATATAATATGAATAAAGAAAACAAAAAAGCTGATCATGCGGTCCATGGTCATTAATTCAGTTCTATGAACTAAAGTCTATCTAACAATATTTTAAATTTTTAGATATAAAGTATTATACTTTCCAGGGTTGTTTGCATTTTAATAGAGAAGTGAATTTACTTCAAGTTTAAAGGAAGCAATTTCTTAATCATTTTAAACCCAATTTCAAGTTGTTCTATTATTTACAGCCCTAGAAATGCTGATTCTCCTGTTTCTTATGGCTGCTCATACTCTCATGGAGGCTTATTTCTTATAGTAAGCATGTAAGAGATTGCAGGTGGGTGGTTGGGAAAGGGAGCTGTCCATATAATCTCAATTCATCATATTGCCAGAGATGCCTGAAGGCACTGGTAACAGTGACATTTCAGAGTGACAAGCCCTGGACAGTAGTGATAAGAACATTCTATGGGGGCGTCACATGGTCTTACTACTCCATCTGTTCCTAGGGTAGGTCCTGATAATACTTATTTTAAACTATTGTTAGTGTATTTGGGTGCCTTTATAAAGATATAAGAGAATATAATATGAAAGAGTTGAGGCAACTTTTCAAAGTGATACATTTGGAGTGTCACATTAATTTTATAAGACTAGGTTTAGAAGCATTGCTTTCTTGGATCTTTTATAAGTCTTTGGAAGATTCAATTTTAATTGAAATCTAATCTATCATCAAATCATGCTGCTTCCACCTCAAAAAGAGATGCCAACTCCATTGACAGCTCCCTGTTTTCACAGCTACTGCTGTGGTCTAATTACATCTCCTACCTAGAACACGTGGATCTGAGCAATCTCACTTCTGCTTTCCTTTTCCACAAGCCCCCAGTTTGATGCTCTTACACCCTGAATACACTACAGCTGCCAAGTGGCAAGGCTCAGGAACCTTGGGGAGAGATGCTTGGGTCCTAGAAGCTCCACTCATTGGGGATTTATGTTGTTTCTTTCACTTAAAAATAATAAATTATAACTGATTCCTATGTAAAGACAGATGACACAATAACAGTTTTATCTTCATACTATACACTGTAATTAGTCAGACCCAAAATAACTTTAATTATACTAGCTTGATATATTTTTAAAATTGGTCTTAGCTGTTATACAGGGATAATCCATAATTGAGACCTTAAAAGGTATGTCATGTCTACTGTACCCTAGGAGAAAAGCAAAATAAAAGAAAAACCTATATTTAGATTTTACTGAAAAGGTGTTATTTCTCTAGGGAGAAGCAGTTAGTATGGACTTAATTCTTTTTCACTCATTTCCTTATCTTCCGAAATCTGCTATGTTTTTGATTTTTAAATTTTAATGTCTAAATAAACTGACCACTCTGCAATAAATTGCTTCATGGAGAGGGGTTGTGAAATGATACTGTTCAATGATAAAATTGTGCTATACAGAATTATTTTCTATAATGTGGTGGAAACAGATAGTTTTCTCTTTTTTTCCCGAATTTACAACCAACTCTGTGGGATGGATTGCTCCCATATAAATAATTTTTGTGTTTTGGTATGTTTTCTCTCCAATGTATTAAAATAAGAAAGAAACTTGCTATAAGAAGCATTGAGTTGTATTATCCTCCTAATGGCCTTATCTCTCTTTTAAATTGTTATTATTTTCAGATTCTCCTCACTTTTTCAGCTGTAATCAGCCAAACTGATCACCTAAGGTAAACTGAGGCAGAGTCTTGATTTGTTGCCCAGGCTGGAGTGCAGTGGTGTGATCATGGCTCACTGCGGCCTTGACCTTCCAGGCTTAAGTGATTCTCTCAACTTGGCCTCCCCAGTAGCTGGGACTCCAGGAGTGCACCACCACTCCTGGCTGTTTTAAAATTTCTTGCAGAGACCAGGTCCCACCATAATGTCCAGACTGGTCTTGAAATCCTAGGCTCAAGCAATCCTCCTGACTTGGCTTCTCAAAGTGCTGGGATTGCAGGCATGAGCCACACCACCCAGCCTGATCAATGTTTTCAGGTGTATTGTGGAACACAGCTCTCCAGACACCAGAACGGGCCAAATGACAGACTGCCAACAGAGCAATATGAGATATGATGGAGAACACTTTTTTGGCTCAGAACTATAGACTTCTAGAGCTGAAGATCAGCTTTAGAAGTTTAGCCTTTCCTAAATGTAAATCCTAGAGATAACTTCCTGACCCCAGATGTTTCCATGCTGGTCTTGGTTACTAATGAAGGGGCAGAGAGAAGTTTAAACCACAGGATATAGTGTGGTTGAACACAGATGCCTAACTATAGCTCTTATAAGTTAAATACAGAATTTGAACATACACTGTTAATATGCAAAATTACTTAATTTTAGTTTTAAACACCTTATAAAAATAATAGCATGGCAGTCTTTTATTAGCTTACAGCATGCTAAAATATATTATTAAATCTTTGATTCATGAGGAAATATTTTAGAGCAAGCTTGAGTATAGAAGGTGGAATTAAGCTGTTCTCTGCTTACAGAGGAAACAAAATTTTAACATATATTTTGCTATTAAATGATGTGGGCCCAAAGTGAAAGCTAAGTAAATACCAGAATCTTTTGTTATCTTCACATGTGAATGTGGCATGTAGTCAAGAATATGTTGTCATATCCATTCATTTTAGTTTTCTTTACTCAGTTCTTGAATCTTGACCTCTGAGTGTGAATATTGAAACTCTATATTGTACTCTTATAAAATTGCTTATTTCTGAAACATAGTAACTAGAAACAGGATTTATCAGATCATAAATAATTTGAAGAAAACTATTCATTAGGGAAATATAATTATTATTTCTTCACACAGAATTGACTATTACAGATTTTAACTAATCTACAACAGAAAGTGGCCATACTTTTTGAAGATTGAACATTTTGCTTCATTGACATGAGTGATGAGACATCTAACTTGCCTAGAAAACACCATGAGTTTATCACAAAACTGATTGCCTGGCCATCTTCTGCACTGCTGCCAGATTTTTTTTTTTTTTCTGGCAGGTTGCATATTGCAGTTTTTAGTTTTTCTCCTCCAAGATCCTGTGGGTTCTTCACTGTTCACAGATTCTTCACCATCAGTATCAGCTTCATGGACAAGCAACCTGTGTCATTGCAGAGTCCTAACCTTGGAAGAGGGCTCCATACTTGGTTTAATGCTCTGTCACCATCTTGAAATTCTTAATAATTTGAACATGGCACCTGACATTTCCATTTTGCACTGAATCCTCAAAATGATATGGGAAGCCTTTTCCAGTTGCCTCATATAGGATTTGTTCTTTCCTCCTCTTTGTTATTATGCTTTTTAAAAAATATGTTTCGCTTATCTGAATGATGATACCAAATTGCACTACAAGTTAATTGTCATCTGTCTATCTTCTTTACAAGAAGGATTTAGTGGATGCTATTGGTACTCATCCAGATTTCTTTGACCAGTCAGTTCACCCATCTTCTAGCTGCTGTGAGTGCTGGCTGCTCCTGTCCTACAGGTGCTCTTCTCCAGAGAATTGTGGTGTTACAGAAGTAAAAAGTGGATTCCTTGCCTCAAGATGGCACACCTCTGTGGAGCCATATGTGTTCCAAAACACCTCATAGTCTCTCTTGAGATCAGACTGAAATAGACTATAGCTGAGCTCACATCCTTTCTTGCGTCGTCCTCTGACCTACCCTGTCCCCAACACTGACTGCTTTTCCACCTCTGAGCATTCCCGCAACAGTACACAAGTACCTGAATCCCTGACCCAGCCTCTGCTTCTAGGTACTCCTGTGTAAGCCAGTCATGAGTTAGTACAGGGATCTTAAAATAACACCAATATATGCCCTTTCCAAGTAAGAAGGTTATTCAAGAATCTGTAAATATGATTTGATAATAAACCTGTGGAAACAAAAGCCATATTCAAGACTTGCAAGTGAACATCACCCCAACTATTTATCATTTGTAGTATGTACAATGTTAGATCCAAAACTCTGAATGACCTGTCATTGGCCCCCAGCCTCCTGACATAGTTGGCATTGACTTAGAAAAATGGATATTCAGTACTTTATTCTGATGGGTAACTGATGACTGGCCAACCTCTGGCTTCTTTTAGCCATCTAGTGAGAATGAATTTGGTATTTCTCTGAGAAGAAACTTATTCAGATCCAATAGGAGTTTTTATTAATACTTTGGTCTAATTTTAATGTTCCTATTTACTGAAGAAGCAATATAATGCGGTGATTAGGAGCATGAATGCTGAAGTTGTACTATCTGGGTTCAAGTCCTGCTGCTTCCCTATCTGTATATGATCTTGAACAATCTGTTTAATTTCTTTATGCCTCCCCTTATCTATATTAAAAGTACCTACCTAGTTCATGCAGTAATTACAAAGATGAACTAAGTATATATGAAAAGATGAGAATGGGGACACACAGACAGCTTTGTATAGATGTTGGTAACTGTTATTATTGACATTAAATACAGGAGATGCACATAGCATCTAACAATTTATTTTTTAGTACAATCCAGCTATATTTAATGATTTATAAATGAAATTTACTGAAATGCAGAAAATCACTACATACTTTAATTTGGCTAATCTTTTATATTAGGAAGTATAATCACAGTTTAACATAACTATGACATATTGAAGTATTCAAAATGAGTTTTTCATATTTTTTCACTTAAATGAATATGACTGACACTTTAATATTTTTTGTAAGTCAGTAGTTACTAACAATGAAGGTAATGGCCATGAATGTGATAATGAAGTTGACCATTACACACACTTAAGATGTGCTTCTTTTCCTTGAATGTTATTAAAGGCCAGAATCTTCAAACAAACCATATAGTGGCATTTTATAAAGCTACTGACCCCAGGGCCATCATATGACCTAAAGGTTGACTAGAGTGAATCTTTTTATCTTTTAATGATATGGCCAATAACTATAGCCAAACCAAGCATAAAATAACAGGCCCTCTTCTCTTTAAAGTTATATTAACTTAATGGTAAATTATCTTAGGATCATTGCAGAAATTACTACACTAGGAGTAAGATTTCATATGAAATACTGAGAGATTCTTAGAGACCCAAAAATTAACTTTTAAAAATTCTTGAGTTTTGGAAATTATTAATCAACTTTTATAAGTTTTTTTAAACAAGGGTCTCCTGGCCCCCGCCTTAAATGCTTTCAGTAACTAGGAAAAATTAAATTAAGTCGTTCAACTCTTTCAGCACTTTTTAACACTTTTATTTGTGCGAAATCAGATTAAAATGCCTATTAAGTTCAGTCTTGGAAGAGGAAATAGTAAAAAATCAATTTCACTTATTTTAGGTTGGTAGTGATGGCAGGCACACATATTACATAGTGTGTGTGTGTGTGTGTGTGTGCATGTGTGTGTGTAGAAGAAACAGTCACAACTTTTCCCATTAACCATCTCCTTGATTGATTACCTAGATTCCCACTAAGCTGAAGCAAGTGGGAGAAGGTGACAAAGCATCCGATGCTAAGAGTGTCTTGTAAAAGAAAAATTGCACCTAACTTTTACAAAATAACTCATGCCGCAACATGCTTATGAAGCACATATGGAAAACCACTCTAAATGGTAGCCTAAGGACTTATATTTTGGATTCAACTGAAGATGTGGTCATCAGGGCTTTTGGCGAATAAGCTATATAATAGGTGTGAGCTGCCTAATAGGATAACTAGAGCCACTTCATAGTGAGGCGATGAGGAAAGGAGTTACATATGAACCTCAGGAACTCACAATGCCTGGGTTCAAATCGCAGCTCTATTTACCAGCTGTGGGGACTTATCTTGCTGCAGAGAAATTATGTTAGAGCTGTGGTGCAAAAAGCATCTTTGGATGTCAAAAAAGAGATGATTAAGTGATAATAATATTGAGGAAAACAATGCTTTGTACTTCCCTCTGCAAGATTAACTTCAATTATATATATTACATGTAGTCCCATATTTGGCATTTTTATAGTATCTCTCTTTCTCTATATTTCTCTTTCCCTCTTTTTCTTCACATAAATGATTAATGATAATGATTAAAATAAATTATATAATAACATGTTTTTAAAGTAATTTAGTTAAAAGCATAGAATAAAATGCAGATCAATAATATTTCTAACTGTAACCCAAATTGAATTCACATTTTAACTTTGCAGAATTTCCATTAAAAGAAAAATTTATGGAAGAATTATATATGCTCAGGTCCCCTGATATTAGCAAGACCATATGCCTGTGGCTTAGATAGCCCCAGTTTGTCAGTTATCCCAGTATAATAACTCATAACACTCTTTTACTCTCAGAAATATTGTGCTTTGATTGATAAAGCATATGCATATCCTACTTAATATAGGGAATTTCCATATTAAGTGTTATACTTAAACAATTCTGAAACATTTTAGGCAGCAGCTGTGAGCCACAAGTAGTGGTAAAAATTGTGTCCAGTCAGAGCAAGCATCAGCAAACTTCTGGCTGGTCATTCTTACTTGTTTGCTGTATAACACAGTCCTTCAAATATTTTGCAGCCCATATTCCTTAAAGTAAAAGGAATATTACTTCATACTAGCATATTTTATACAAATGACAGTCTAAAATGCAAGCCCACAGTTTTTCTAATGTATTTCCTTCCTGTCAACATTTGAATCTGTGCAATATGCCAGAGTTTTGGTTACTATTCAGTAGAGAAATGAACGTTTGGAAGCTATGCATTTGTTAGATAATTTCATCCTCAAGTAAACTCTGGGCTTCCAAAAGGGTCCCCTGAATGTAGCACAATGTCTGCTATTCAGTAGGCATCTAATAGATATGTGTTAAATGAGTGAATGTGTAATGATGGTAAATGGCTTTAACATAAAAAAATGAATTTAAATTTTGTAATTTAATAGTATTTTTTTCCAATCATCCCAACTACCTTGAGAATAATAAAATTTGCACTCAAGGAATCTCTGATAACTACTGTTCATACTTATTAGGTAAAATATAATGTGCATATACACTATGGAAGAATTAATTAAATCATACCATTAAAATATTAAGTGAGAGACCTTAACCCATATGTTTAAATATGAAGGAGGAAAACAGACAATATGGAGGGAAGAGAACCAAAAGATAATTGAACTTTTTGTCGTGGTAAATGATGTTCCAATGAACTTCTACTATAGAATTTACAGTTGAAAGCCTATCAGTGATCATTCTGGAGTCCCTCAAAAATGTGTGTTTTTTTGTTTGTTTGTTTGTTTGTTTTTAAGGTCGTGTTAGAAATTCCTTTCATGGTCAAAGAGATTTTTTATAATTTTAGACTAACATCAATTCAAAAAATAGACCATATTATTGAGGAGAAGAGATTGGAACAACAATTAGTAATGAACTTTTCAGATGGTAATATGAAACCAAAGTTTGAGCACGGCATCTTAAGGGATCGATATTGCTCTTTGATCATGTTATTAATCTTTCCAGATTTTAATAAAACTTAAGGTGATTTTATTATTTAACTAGGAGGTAGCCAATAATTACAGTAAACTTTAAATGTCCATAATAGCATGATGGGAAAAGAGAAGGCCAAAAAACGCGTATATCTTAAAATAGTTTTAAAAGTTTTTGAACTCTTCCAATTCAACTGGAAAATTATGAGCATAAAAATGAGTTAATTCAGGTTAATTATGAACAGATGACTGGCAAGCCCTTACCAAATAAAAATGATTATTTAAAGCCCACTGGTCCCTTGATGCTGCATTTGTATGACATCAAAGACCAAAACTTCATAGCCTCTTTGTCATTACTAACACATCTTTGTTTACCTGGTGATTCTTTCTCTGCTGTTCTCCCTCTTTTCTCCTGGTTTTACCTGCTCTTTGAATAGATTCTAGTTGATAAGAAAGAGTATAATTTAATGTCTTTTTTATAAAATAAATATCTAATGGAGAGAAAAGCATGGCCACTTCAATGTTCAGTAATTATGTGTTGAAATTTCTGGAATAAGTAAAAAAATAGTAATTTAGTAATCTCAAATTATTTTATAAAAGACTAATCTGTCTTATTTCTAAATTTGAAGAAAACAGTTTTCTTAATTCAAAGAGTACAAAATATTAATGAGTCACCTCAACCCACCCAGAACGGTGTCTATTCTAATAGAAAGAAACAAATTCCTGGCGATGCAAACTCCTTTGCTTAAATGTCTTTTCATATAATGCACAAATATAAAAAAACTGCATGCAGAAATTTTAGCATCTTAAATTTCTCTACATTTGTTTAATTTTAACATCCAAAGAAACATTTTTAAACCAAGCATCAATTATTTCCATGTTCCCACCAAGTGATTTTCCATTGAACAAGATTTCTGGAATTATGCAAGCAACTGCTTGAGGAAGACATCTAGAAATATATTTGTGCATAGAGGCTATTGAAATATGAAATTACACTAATGGTTCAGGTTGTTGTTGAAATAAATGTTCCACCCCACTATGTTGTTACAGAAAATATCAACATTATTATCCAAGCTGGCTGTCTTAATTAATCTAGTTCTCATGCTAATTGCTATGCTCTCCATTTCATTTTGTCTCTGTAGGCACAATCTTTCTTTAAAAAATTGGCAAAACTTAGCAGCATTCAGAATATCCTAAGTCTTTGAAATGTTTGCATATTTCTATATTGCTTTTTCTGTTCAGAACATTTATGTTTAGTTTACATGCCAACAATTAAAACACAGAATTTTACATTTATCTCCAGTGAACTTTCCTTCTAGAGTTAAAAGAAAATATGATGTCCCAGGGAGTTAGGATAACAAGCTGTGATAACAATTAATAGTTGATTCCAATGCATCATGGAATTATAGAACCCAATAAAACTGCCTTTGTTTTTTGGAGGGTAGCCATAGACTTAATGTAAACCACTTATTTCACATGCATTTATTTATCTGTTCATTTAACAATATTTTAGAAATCTCTTATATGTAAGGCTCTGGGATATAGCTGGACGACAAATGGAGAATTTCATACAAAGCCTTTGCTGAAGGAGCTGATGGTTGTGTAAATAACAATAATTTACATGTTAATAATACAAGAAAGAAGATAGAAAGTACATTGCATATGCATTAATTTAGCGGACCAAAATACAATATCTAGTGGGATGTGTTAGTCTGTTTCTGCATTTCTTTTTTTTTTTTTTTTTTTTGAGACGGAGTCTTACTCTTGTCGCCCAGGATGGAGTGCAGTGGCGTGATCTTGGCTCACTGCAACCTCTGCCTCCCAGGTTCAAGGGATTCTCTTGCCTCAGCCTCCCAAGTAGCTGGGATTACAGGTGCCTGCTATCATGCCTGGCTAATGTTTGTATTTTTAGTAGAGACAGGTTTTCACTGTGTTGGTCAGGTTGGTCTCGAACTCCTGACCTCAGGTAATCCTCCCACCTCAACCTCCAAAAGTGCTGAGATTACAGGTGTGAGCCACTGTGCCTGGCCCTGTTTTTGCATTTCTATAAAGGAATACCTTAGGCTAGGTAATTTATAAAGAAAATATGTTTAATTTGCTTATGGTTCTGTGGGCTATACAAGGATGGCTCAAGCATCTGCTTCTGGTGACAGCCTCAGGAAGTTTACAATCATGATGGAAGGTGAAGGGATGGCAGGTGATGTCACATGATGAGAGAGGGAGTAAGAGGGAAATTGGGGAGGTTTCAGACTCTTTCAAACAACATATCTCAGGTGGACTAACTGAATGAGAACTCACTTATCACCAAGAAGATGGTGCTAAACCATTCATGAGGAATCTGACCCCATGATCCAATCACCTTCCACCAGGCCCCACTTGCAGCATTAGGGATCACATTTCAACATGAGATTTGGAGAGGAAAAACATCCAAACCATGTCATAGGGAGATAGGAAATTTCGTTATATCTGACCCTCAAGAAAGTAGTTGCCATCTTAAAGCTTGTGAGGAGCCCTGGCTGCAAGATTTAAAGGCCAATTGGGAATGAAGTATAATTATTTCCTTAAGTGTAGGCTACTTATTTAAGAAGCACACCTCTCAGTGCATACTCAGCTTATTATCACTGTAACCCTTTAGAAATCATATCCCCTAGGGCAGCGATCTTTTTATTTTTTATTCACAGCTCTATCTTCAGTGCCTAGTTCAGGGCTTTGGTATAATAAACGCTTAGTAAATATGTATTGAATGAATGAGTGGATTAAGCTAAGGACAGATGAGCTTCCATTGGATTTAGCAGCAAGAAGTTCATTAATGACCTTGGTGGGATCTCATTTTTCAGTGAAATGTCTAGTTTCACAGTTTGTTGAGGAGTAAATAGGAGATGTCTAAATATAAGCCAATGTTCAGCAGCACTTTCTAAATTGTGGGGTAGGAAGGAAAGAAATAGGAAATTGTTTAGAATGAATGGACACTGGTTTGAGTAAGAATTTCTGTTGTTTTAGATCAGAAAGAACTGAGCATGTTGAAATGCTGGTCAGAAGCCTCCTAAAGAAAGAAATAGAGGTAGGTCCATGAGAAGTTCATAAGTATATTCCAAACCATGGGAAGAGAAATTACCCTTACCTGGGACACTAAACCCTTTCCTGTTGTAACTGGAGAGAAGACTGAAGGCATGCAGGTAGATGCAGCTAAGTTTGTAGATCAAGCTGTGGAAAACTGAGGGAATTCTATTGGCTTAATTTTTGTTGTGTAATGTTAAGGTTATTGTTTTATCTTGAGAAACGATGTAGCCAGAGATTTGAGATAATTATACACATTTTGAAGTGGCTGCTGTGAGGAATGGAAAGAGATTTCACTAGTGGGACCTAGAAGTATTCCTAGACAGCCATGAGTGAGCTGGTGATGTTGCAAGCCACAGATCTATAGTTAGGCACTGATACACACTACTTATTTCTCTACCAAGGTTCAGTGGCCAAGGTATAGAAGGCAAGCATTCAGTTTAAATCAGTGAGGGTGTAGGAGAGAGACAAGAGAGTTGAGGACATGGTGAGACAGTGATTGATGAACTGCACTATGAATACAAAAGGACATAAAGTGGAGACACAGGTAGGCTCTTTGATAGGAAGAAAGTAGAAGCATTAAGAAACTGGGTGCCTTGCTGAGATCTAAGAATAGATCTAAAATCTGAGTGATAAAGCCAGAATAATGGGAAGCTGTGTTTCTTTGAGTTTAAGAGTTTTAGAGTGGACCAGTTTTAGGTGATGACAAGGTTGGGGGTATGGACATGTGAGTTGGTTGGTAAAGAGGAGTAGAGAAGTAAGGTTCACTGAGGATGAGAAGGCAGAGATTAATCTGAGAGATTAAGATTATTCATATGGACTTTGAAGACATACAAGATAATATTAGCAATTGGTGTACAGGAAATGATGCTGAGAGCAAAAGCCTTCAATTAATGTGGTGAAATGATCAAGAGACTCGTAGATAAACAACAAAGAGGGATAGAGTGGATAGCCAGAGCACTACATAAGCCATTAAAGATCAAGGGTTCCCAAATAATTCTATAGGCAAAAAGATCTGGGGGCATCATTAAGGATTTAGGACAATAACAGTCACTTGTCCTGACTCTAACATAAACAGAATATGAGAAAGTGAGTGGATTACACTTGCGAGTTCCGTACAGGAGAACCAAGCTTGAATTAGGGCAAGAACATAAAGAAAATATACAGTAAAGGTGCTCAGAATGCAGGTCAGATTACTTTTCATGAAAAATGGATTTTTTTTTTAGCACATCGTTTTAAGAGGGCAGAAAGCTCTAAAATGCTTGAGATGCAAGGAATTACAGAAGAGTATGGAAATACATATTTAAGGGAGAAAAAATGACTGAACAAGCTTCTATGTTGGGTGGTGAGCAGGGAAAGATAACAGGATCATGTCATGTGCTGGCTTTGCTTGGCCATCAGGTATCCCTGCCTGGCGAATGGGAGTATGGGGCCCTCAAGTTGCTTAGAATTAGCAATTATGGCTTGCCTGGGTTGGCATTTGAGCTAGCACTTGAAGAAGTAAGTAGAACTTTGCTTAGAGAGGACATATGGGTGGGTATAACAGGCAGAAGGAAGTACAAACACTGAAGACATACAAATACAAAAGTACTGGCAAGTGAAGTGAATGCTGGAAAGTTAAGTGTGAATAGAGCAACAAGATATGTGGGCTGGAGTACTAGATCATAAGGCTTGACTGTAGAAGAGTCAAAAATTTCATTAACATTGGTGATTAAATAATAATTAATTTTTTCTGCTTCATCTTTGCAATTCTACCTCTACTGCCTAGCATAGTTACTAGTACATAGAAAGCACTCTGTTAATATGTGTTTGTGTGTGTACTCTGTTAATATGTGTGTGTGTGTGTGTGTATGTGTGTGTGTGTGTGCATGTGTTTTGAGATGGAGTCTCGCTCTGTCACCCAGGCTGGAGTGCAGTGGCACGATCTTGGCTCACTGCGATCTCTGCCTCCTGGGTTCAAGTGATCCTCCCACCTCAGCCTCCCATGTATCTGGGATTACAAGCATGTGCCACCACAGGTGGCTAATTTTTATGTTATTAGTATAGACGGAGTTTCACCATGTTGTCCAGGTTGTTCTCTAACTCCTGATCTCAAGTGATCCACCTGCCTCAGCCTCCCAAAGTGCTGGGATTAGAGGCATGAGCTACCATGCCTGGCCTCAGTTAATATTTGTTGAACAAATACAATTGCAGTGAATTAAAGCTTTGAAGAATAATTAATGTGTTTGAATTAAAACTCAAAAATATAACAACAGACTAGGATGAAATTAAACAATGAGATACAGTTTAATATAGGGATCATTATAAAATCGTAGATCCATGTTCAATAAGTCAGCCACCTAAGTGCAGAAAGGAGGTGGTAATCTGATGGTGAGCCAGGCTTAAGAGGCATTCAAGGCTAAAGAATGTAGAAATTTCAGTAGACCATGGCCAAATATGTCAACACTATCCTGTAACTGCCCTTAAACCTTGGGTACATAAATTTATGTTGCATACCACAAATAACAAAAGCAAAATGAGCAAGATTCCTGTAACCTATATAGTCAGTCTATAGCTGCAGTCTCATTTGGAGCTCTGAACACATAATTTTATGATTCAAATGGCATCAGAATTGCAGTTAGTGAAGGTCAGGATGGGCTAGGACAAAGAGAGCTATACAAGAGAGGCTTTCTACATCTTCCTTGCCTCCCCTATCTCCGTTCTAGGCTAATACTAATTTGGAGTTTCACTTGGAGACAGAGTGAAAAAAGCAGGTGATGACTTTTAAAGCTATTTATTTAATTTTCCATTTGTTCTTTATTTATTTTAAAAACTCTGTTTTCAATACCTAATGGGCTAACTTATTTTACTATAATATGTAGCACAACCAAACGGAAATAAGCCTGGTTTTAAAACAGTGTTCTGGGAGGGGCATTTCTGGATTCATTTTATCTCCTCTAAGCATCAAAATATTGACTGTACCAGCTAGGTGGGGTATACCCATTAGCAATATCTTAGAGTTAACTGGGTCTTGTTCTCTATCAGCATGCTTTCTGTGATAACCTTCTCTGACACAATAGGGAAAATTATGCTTTATCTTCATTCTCAGAACAACCCACTTGTTTAAGATTCTTTTTTCCTTAAAGTACTTCCCCTCACCTTCAACATGGAAATGTCAAAGCATTTCTAAGGTGCCATCATTAAACACTTGCCAGAGGCAGTAGCTCAGCTGCAATGCAGCTTCACCAAATCATGTCCCAATAGCATGCAAGTTCCCAACGTATTGAGGCAAGTCTTGCCTGTGAGATGAAACCTTGATTGTTTCTCTCTCTTCACGCATAGTGGGGAGGCAAGAATAAACTCCCAGAATTATACATACTTAAAAATGTAGCTTAAAAGATAGAATCGAAGACGAGTTTTAAAAAATTGAAACTATAGCTATATTTATGCACATTAAACAAGACTTTCTGGTGGCCTTTTAAAATTATAAGTTGTTATATTCTATCTTATTCCACAAATAATTTAAGACAATTTATGACAAGCAAATGTAAATTCGATGTGAGAAATACAAGGGATAAAAAATAGAGATCAAATGGGGCTAGGAACATGACTCCTATGAAATGCACATTTACAGAGTACATGGTGGGGGCACAAATTTGCTTTTTGCAGTGAATGCAAATAGGAAATTATGTAAGTAGAGAAAAGAAATAGAGGAAACTTTTGCGATTAAAACAATGACATCAAATATGTAGACAAAAGAAAATTCTGGGATCACCTGAAAACCTACCATTAGCATAACAAAAGTAAGTATTCGAAATTGGAATGATGGAGATTATAGGTCTTTTTCCTGAGGAATTAAACCGACACAAAAAAATCATTTATATATATTGTTCTAAGTAAGACATTTCCCCAAATGAGATCAAATTAGGCACAGTATTTCCCTAGGCACAATAAACAGGTAATTTTATTCTCATTCTTATATGGCTATCATAATATTGATGTTCACTTAAATATTTGATTTAAATGTCAGTGGTATCTGTTTCTGGTATATGAAACTAGTGTTTTTATACTTTAATTTTATGACATAGTCTTTGGCTGTGACAAAAATAGGTAAACGATTATTTTGTTTTAATCATGGAAAAAACTACATACATGAAATCTATCTGCTTAACAAATTTTAATGTGTACAGCACAATATTGTTAACTACATGTATGTTGTTGTACAGCAGATCCTAAAACTTTATCATCTTGTATGACTGAAACTATTCCCATTGACAACAGCTCACCACTTCCCCTTTCCCCTAGCCCCTGACAACCACCATTCTATGTTCTGCTTTGATGAGTTTGACTACTTTAGAGACTTCAGAGAGTGGAATCATACAATATTGCCCTTCTGTGACTGGCATATTTTACTTAGCAAAATATCCACAAGGTTCATCCATATTGTAGCACATGACAGGATTCCCTTTTTTTTTTTGTAAGTTCAAATAATATTCCATTGTAGGTATATATCACTTTTCTTTATCCATTCAATCTAAGTATCCAATGGACACTTAGATTGTTTTCACCTCTTGGCTGTTGTGATGATGCTGATACAAACATGAGGGTGCAAATATCTTTTCCAGACCCTGTTTTCAATTGTTTTTTGAAAATACAAAGTGAGATTGTTGCATCATATGATAGTTCTTTTTTAAATTTTTTGAGAAACCTCCATACTGTTTTCCATAGTGGCTGTACCATTTTATATAATTCCCATCAAAAGTGCATAAGGGTTCCAAGTATTCTACGTCTTCACTAACACTTATTACTTTCTGTTTTGGTTTTTATTTTATTTATTTTTCTTTATTTATTTTAAATATAAGGGCCATTCTAACAGATATGAGATTTTATTTAATTGTGGTTTTGATTTTCATTTACCTAATGATTAGTGATGTTGAACATCTTTTTATATACTTGTTAATCATTTATATGTCTTCTTTAGAGAAATGTTTCTTTACCCCTTTGCGCATTTTTAAACCAGGTTATTTGTTTTTATGCTATTGAGTTGTAGGAGTGCCTTATATATTTTGGATACAAACCCTTATCAGTTAAAGGTTTGGAAATATTTTCTTCCATTTCTGTAGGTTGCCCTTTGACTCTGTTGATGGTTCCCTTGGCTGCACAGAAGTTTTTTAATTTGATGTATTCTCACTTGTCTATTTTTTATTTCATTGCCTGTGTTTTGGTGTCATACAAGAAATCATTTCCAAGATCAACATTTTGAAGTATTTCCCATATGTTTTCTTCTAGGAGATTTATAGTTTTAGATCTTATGTTTGTCTTTAATCTATCTTGATATATTTTTTGTGTATGATGTAAAATAGGGTCTAATTTCATTCTTTTGCATGTGAATGTCCAGTTTTCCCAGCACTATTTGTTGAAGAAGCTATTCTTTCCCAGTTGTGTAGCCTTGGCAATCTTGTGAAAGATCATTTGGCCATATATGTATGGGTTTATTTCTCAGCTCTCTTATTTTTTTCCATTGGTTTATATGTCTGTCATTATTCCAGTACCATACTATTTTGATTACTATTGCTATGTAATATTTTTAAAGCCATGAAGTATGATACCTCTAGATTTGTTCTTCTTTCTCAAGGTTGTTTGAACTATTTGGGGTTCTTTATGGTTCCACATGAATTTTAGGATTGTATTTTTATTTCCACAAAAATGTCTTTGGGATTTTGATAGGAATTGCATTTAATTTGTACATCTCTTTGGATAAAATGAACATTTTAACAATATTAAGTCTTCCAATCATGAGCATAGAGTATCTTTAGGTCTTCTTTGATTTCTTTCAGCAATATTTGTAGTTTTCATTATACAGATCATTTGCCTCCTTGGTTAAGTTTATTCCCAAGTATTTTATTATTTCTGATGCTATTGTAAATGGGACTGTTTTCTTGGTTTCCCTTTTGGATTGTTTGTTGCTGCTGTATAGAAACACAACTGATTTTTGCATGCTGATTTTGTATCCTGAAAACCATGGACGGTATTGTAAATTGATCATAAACTTTTTTTACTAATTATAAAATAATAGAATGTTTTATTGGATGAATGATTTAATTTCCCAGTTGTGATGCTTAATTTTATATATCAACTTGATTGGGCTAAGGGGTGCCTAGGTAACTGGGTGTGTCTGTGAGGATGTTTCCAGAAGATATTAGCATTTAAATCAGTAGACTCAGTAAGGAAGATTGTCCTCACCAATGTGGGTGAAGCATCATTCAATCCGTTGAGTTCAAATAGAAAAAAATATGAAGGAAGGGTGATCTTGCTCTTTGTATATAAGCTAGAACACCCATCTTATCCTGCCTTCAAATATTAACATCCGTATTCTCAGGACTTAGCATTTAGACTATGACTACGTCACTGGCTTTCCTGGGCCTACAGCTTGCAGATGGCAGATTGTGGGACTTTTCAGCCTCCACGATTGTGTGAACCACTCCCTCATAATAAAATTTTTTCTATATATTCTATGCGTCCTGTTTCTGGAGAACCCTGACTCTAACACCAGGCATGCTAGTTACAGATTGACATCAACTTGATTTTTTTTTCATAATAATCCAGATAATAAGAGAACATGTTAACAAGAATCAAATCATGCCACAGTGAGTTTTATAATAGCCAGGCCTTTGGGTTAATACTGAAACAGTCACTTCTCTTGAAACAAATTAGTAAATGAGATCATCAAAGGAGAGTATAGCTGGAAGGGGAAATACTTAGGACAAACTCTTGAAGTACTCAAACTTTATATAATACAGAAATTTTCTCTTCTACCTTTCTTTCAGCCTCATCTGTGTTTTCTTTGCAGGTTAAATCTTTATCCAGCCACAAAATGTTGACCTTCCTGAAGGATCAATTTTAAGTCATCTTGTGTTTTTATTTTATGCTTTTTCCTGGATAGTCTAACCAGTGCCCATGGGCTCATACATCACCTACATACAAATTAAGGGGTTTATGTAACTAGCCCAGAGTTTCTCAGCCTCAGCACTATTGACAGTTTGTTTCTAGAGGGAAGCATAGGGATCTGTGCTGCGTATTACAGGATGTTTAGCAGAATCCTTGATTTCTCCCTACTAGATGCCAGTAGTAACTTCTGGTTATAACAACTAAAAATGTCTGTAGGTGTTTTCAAATGATTCTTGAGGGGTAAAATCACCACTAATCTAGCCTATGGCTTCTGTTGAGCTTTAGGCCCATATGTATGACTGCCTAATTGACATCTCCTCTTGGGTGTCTTAAGGAATTTCAAATTCGATATACTCAAAGCAAAACTCATGATGGAGCTCCTACCCCCAAATCTGGGTCATTACCATTGCTTGTTCCCTCATTGAGATGCACCAGAAACTTAGGGATCATCTTCATTACTCTAGATGTATTCATCATCTATTGATATGTAACAAGTCACCAAATTTAGCATCTTAAAATAACTCTCATCTATTATGTCATGGTTTCTGTTGTCAGGATTCTGGGCACAACTTAGCTGGTTCTCCTGCTGGTTCTCACGAAGCTGCATTCAGGTGTTGGCAGAGCTGTATTCTCATCTAAGGGATTGAGTGGGGAAGAATCTACTTTAAGCTTTGGTTGTTAGTAATGTTTGTTACCATGTGTCTGTATGACAAGGCCCTGGCTTTTTGCTGGCTGTTAGATAGAGGTTGTCCTCAGATCCTAGAGGCTGCCCACAGTTCCCTGCCATACAGATCTCTCCATAAGCAGTTTACAACATGACATTTGCTTCTTTAAGGCCAGCAAAAGTACCTCTTTTTCTGTTTTTCTAAGACAGAATCTCATATCACATAATGTCATGAAGGGCGTGACATCCCATTACCTTTGCCATATTGTGTTGGTTAGAAGCAAGACAAAGGCCTTACCTGCACTCAAGGGAAGAGGATTATACAAAGACATGAATCACTGGTTGTCATTTCAGGATGTGTCGGCCACAGTGGAAAATTATTCCATCATGCAACGCCTGTGAATTTCATCTTATCATATTTATCCATATCCATCAGCTTCTGTCTGTTACCTCCTCAACCTTTATTATGAACTTATCCCAACCTACCATTATTTCTTACTTCAACAATAGAAGAATCTTCTTTAATGAGTTTGTCTGTATCTACTCTGGCCATTCTCCATCCTTCAGCCAGGGTTATTTCTTTGAAATGAAAAATATGTTCATTTCCCACTCTTGTTTAAACTTTTCTGAATCTTTCAAGAGCTCTTAGGAGTGGGATAAAACTCTTTAGCAAAGCTTACAAAGCCTTGCATAATCTGGCCGTTTCCTCCCCGGTCTCGACCCTTGACTATCTCAGCGCCAGCCATCTCAGCTTCTTTCAGATCCTTGGCTTCCTCTTGCCACAGGGTCTCTTTATTAATGCTTTTCCTTTCTTACCCCTCAACTTCTTCCAGCTCACTTCTTCAGATAACTTTTTTGATATCTCTGAATATAATCTCTTATTATGCCAAATTCTTCCTCTTAGAATTTACAGTAGTTCCAATCTCTCTATCCTCCACTAGACAATAACCTGTATGAACAAAGGGACATGGAGATCTGGTTTAGAATTAGCATGAAACAATTTAATTAATTAAGGGCTTTTAATTTTTTAAAAATCTTAGTGAAGGAATGTTTTACCAGAGAGTTAATTCACAAAATTGTACTCATATAAGAGACATGGCTCCTTTCAGTTGGGTTTTAAATATAAACTGGATCTAAAGTGAAAACAGTACATACATGCACTATTTAGCAGTTATGTACCTCACAATTCCTTTTGGCCGGAAGTCGGGTCATAGCTTAGATAGGTTCTTGCTCTGGTCTCTCAAGGCTGCAATGAAATACTCAGAAAACTTGAGGTGAGATGGATCTCCATTTTGATTAAGAAGTAAAGAAAATATATTCATTTGGAAAGTAGCTTGAAAAGCTACATTTTGGCATGGAAAGCAGAAAATTCATTATGTAAGAAGGAACACTTCAAAGTGAAAATTAATTCTCTTCCTCAGGACCTCAGCTCTTTCCACTACCCAGTTAAAAGAATCTTTCATGCAAATTTTACTAATACATACTAAATCAAAATTATAAACCTCTAGAGACTAGAGACAGAGTTAAAGAGTAAATTAAAATATCTAAATAAGTCATCTTCGATGTTTTTTTCTTAACAATTAAGAAGTAAAACCTTTTAAATATACTAATGATTTTTAATGAGTATAGATTTTTTATATCTGTACAACCCTACATTTTCAAATTTATAACATTAAAATCAAATAAGGTATCTCCATTATTTAATTGGCACTTTTGTTACTGTGTTATTTCAGTGTGTAAGGTTACTCTGTCTAAGGCATATACTTTGATTCTAATTAAAATTAATAAATAAACATAAATTGACCTATATGCATAGCAGAACAGATTCACTTTATCTCTCATATTACATTTTACCTTACACACCTTTTAGATCCTGTTCTAACGTTATACACATCATAAGAGCCTAATATCTATTTCTTGAACAAATACATATGTAAGGTTTTATTTTAGGGTGTTACAACAAATTACGCAACAAATATATTTTGAACTTAAAAAGAAAAATCTCTTTCTAGGGTGTAGTGAATGAGAGCAAGACACCAACTGTGAGACCTTGGGCCAGTTACTTAAATTTTTCAAGCTATTTTTCTTATCTAATACCTAGGGAAGCCATTATTGAGAGGATAAAATTAGATCATGCACACAAGTGCTTAATAGAATGCCTCCTTCGTGCTAAGCATATTCAAGAAATGTTAACAATTGCTCTTTACTCTTTATAGAAACTCATCATCATTGTTCTGAAATGTGCTCCTCAGTACCAAAACATGCTTGCTTGTTCTGAAATTGCTGGGGACTTACCGGCTAGTATTTTAAATCTTAACAGAAACATTTGTTCTTGTGAAAAAAAACATATTGGAGGTTTTTTTTTAAATAATAAATTAGGTTATGAAGGCACAGGAGAACATTGTAAGAATTTATCTGTGACTTCTTTCTCATAACTGCATTTTTCATCACAACGTTAGTTTATGTAGGTATTGCCAATGAAGAAGCAAAAGAAGAGGATGGGACCTTATTAATCTTTCTAGAATATCACTTTCATCATGTAACTCCCCTTTTCTAAAAGCTCCTAATAACTTTCTGTTGTTTAGAGGATAGTGAGCAAAGGCAGAATTAGAAAGCAAAAGCCCATCCATAATCAGGCTTCTTCCATTCCTTTCAACTAAATAATGTGTATTCCCTTCACACACACTGTCCCAGTAGGACTGGTCTGTTCTCCATTTCACCGAAACTGCATGACCCTTCTCACCTTTATACTTCTATTTATGTCTTTCTCTTTGCCTGGCCTGACCCCTCTGTTTTGGAATTTATCAGGTCTTTATAGCTTCTTATAATTGCTTTTTTTCAACATTGTATGATTGAAAACAAGGGATATTCTATGATGTTGTTATATAAAGAAAAGAATTGATTGGGAAAGGGTAGTTAAATGGGTCTAGTCTCCTCCGACCTTGATGAAGGGAATGACTGATATTTTCCTGGTTGACAAATGACATGATCTTCACATTAGGATTACAAGTGGCAGTAGGTAGATATCACCCCAACTTTTTCCTGTTTGGTCCTGTTTCCTGACTCAGAGTCCCATCCACAATTGGGATGAATGCACTTTGGATGAACAATTCTTGGGATCTGGCAGATCATTGATTAAGATTATTGATTTCTAGTACAGTTGTAATTTTCCATTTTGTTGTATCAGTGTAGATCAGAAGATACTAGTTAGA
Organism: Homo sapiens; assembly: GCF_000001405.40. NCBI lineage: Eukaryota > Metazoa > Chordata > Mammalia > Primates > Hominidae > Homo > Homo sapiens. Next base: position 80,528,151 of record NC_000004.12, read on the forward strand.
TCATTTTCATCTAACAAACACTGAAGGCTTTTCCATCTTTGTATTTAATTCTAATCCTTATAATTCTTCTAACCCTTTTTTGAGCCCATGAGACCCTCCTTCCTATATTTTCAACCTCATTCTATTTACCGAATATTTCCTACACATGCTCATGCCTCTTTGTTTGAAAAGAAAAAAAAGGCAAAGTTTTTTCCTGTGTCTTCCTCTAGCTCTTACTGATCATATTTATGGTTCATGTAGCATTCTCTGTCTACTTTCTTAGTGTTTCATAATGTGGTAGGCATCAGGGAAAGATGGCTAGATTCTCCTTTAGTTTGAGGCAGTAATTCTCCAGCTGCCAGGATGATATTGGCTGCTATCGTCCCACTCCCTGTCCCTGAACTTGCTTTTCTTCTCTTATCTGAAATGCCACATCTGCCCACATTATATTGAAATGCTCATTACTTTCAATGCCTTCAAATTGCTACCAATTTCTAATTCCAAGTATGTGAATTCATACCATCTCTTATACAACATTGGGTGAGAAGAGACAAGGATCATTTCTGGGTTTTGGTCTTGAATATCCTACAGTAACTTGAGGTCATTATATCCTAAATTAAAATCATGTTATTCTCTCCAGATTTCACTCTCCCTCTAATATTTAAATTTCAGTGTATGGCATCACCATCTGCTGCCCAGTATCTCAAGAAAGAGGCCAATATTTCTACCTTCATATTTTATCTCTTACCAATTTATTTTTCTTTCTGGGACTAACTAAACACTTCTTAAGTCCTGCTACCTTTGCCACCTTGATGATCCCAAATGCATTCAGTTCTATTCATCCACTATTTTATTTCAGGCCATTGAACTATCTTGCCTGGATTATTTCTATAGCTTCTTTACTTGCCTTCAAAATTTCTCCATGTCAGTCCATTATCTGAAGCAATCTTCCCAAAACTCAATGAAGCAGTGCAATGACTACTAGACCTTCTGTGATATGATAGCAGCTTTCCTGTCTTCTCTCTTGCTAGATCCTTCAAGCTCCAGATAATCACTTGTATCTCTGCCAGCATCATGTTCTCTTACATCCAGTCCTTTCCATGGTTTTTTTTTCTCTGCCTCATAGGCTCTCTTCCAATCCTTTCCTGGCAATAAATATGACTTATCTTTTTGTTGTCAGTTTAGTCATGTAAACAGCTTGAAATGCCTTCCTTGGTTTATTTTTAGAATATACTGCATCATATACAACAGACTATGTTCTTATGTTTTAAACATTGACTAGCATAGTATGGATTTCCAAAGAAAGTACTCAATGCTATTGTACGTATGTATTGGATTGTTTATTTTCTCTCAATCTGTACTGATAGTTTAGCTCATTTATGGTAAAGTTAGTTGGCTTTTTAGGTCCTGGTACTGTGGTTTAATCAATGCTGAAATACAGTCCTCTGAGTGGCTACCATAATATATATTTTTAATCCTGAAATTTAGCAAGAGTTATTTCAAAAAGCTATCTTGAAACTGATGTTTTAATTTCTATTTTATTTTCTATGTACATAGGAAGAAGCTGAAGATTCCTTGCTCAGCTCCACTTGCTAACTCACTTTTTAGATACAATCCTTTTTTTTTTTCTTGGCAAACAAGTCAGGTGCAAGGAAAAGGTAGTCAGAGAGAGGAATACAGCATATTCTCTCCATACCTAGTAGGTAACACATCAAATCTGCAAGCTTAAGGAAGGAAACTGAATTACACACAAGCAAACTTAATTAAAAGAGAGAAGATTTTCCATTTTGTAATATGGTACACAATTTTGAAATATTAATCTCTTGTTATAAAAACAGTATTTAAAGATAGTATGAGAAAAATAAATAACATGAGAGATGAAATTGTATAAATTAACACATTGAATTATTTTTTTCAGACTATAATTACTAATTTTTAAAATGCATGTGAGTTAGCAAAGCTGGTCACACATTCGTCGAAAATATTTCTATTAAGTCCACAAGGGATTTGTACTTCCATATGTTTGCTTTGGAATGGGATTACACTAACAGCACAGAAATATTGACAATATATCTGGAACTATGATCATAGTGTTTCAAAATCTGAAATGTCAAGTGCAGCAGATATATCGTGTTATGCTGATATTTGATATTTCTTTCAAAAATATTATACATTTTATATGTAAGATACAGATACTTCCTGAAATTGTCAAGTGAAACAATTTTAAGTTACTTTAAAATAATATAGGTACTCTCCTGCTATAATGATATTTTCTGGACAGTATCAAAAAAGTTATGCAGTTATGCTACAAGCCATTTTATTTTTTACTTTTTCTTAACTGTAAGGCTTTTCATCTTTTCATCTAAACAGTAATGTCTATTAAGTCATTCAATAAATATTGAGTATCTCCTATGTAACAGACAATGGTCCAAGCAGAAAGATTTACCCACTAACAAAATAAAGTCTTTGCTTTTGTGGAGGTTACTCTGTAGAGGGGAAGGAGACAAGAAGGAATCAGTCAATGCATTTTGTGCTAAATTGTAAATGCAATGGAGAAGAGGGGGTATGCTGTCATTATTTCATAATGCCATCAGGCAAAGCTAATTGATATGACGATAGTTAGAAAGAGATGAAAGGGAAGTGAAGAAGAAAGCAGAGCTGATCTGGCAGAGAACACACTCCAGGCAGAGTGAAAACATGTGCAAAGACCTTGAGGTTGATGTGCTTCAAGGAGTCCTAGCATGGATAAGCAAGAGAGCTGGTAGGAAATGAGATCCAAGACCTGAGTGTGGAAGTCAATGATAGTACAGACTATGTAGGGCCTCGTATGTCAATATACAAACTTTGGGTTTTATTTAGTATAAGACTGGAATTTTTAGATGGTTTTAAGCAGAGAAAAAATAATAATTTATATTTTAAAAGTGTGGCTATGGCTACTGTGTTGAGAGGCAGAGGAAGAAGTAGGAAGATCAATTAAAAGACTAGTTTTATAATCTAGTCCAGATGAGGATGGCTTGGACCATGAGTGACAGGAGGGTAGAAATAGCAAGAAATGGCCATATTCCAGGCATATTTTGAAAATAGCATGAAATTTCCTAGTGTATTGGATTTTAAATGCTAGTAAAAGAAATAAATCAGGCATGCTTTAAAATTTTTGCCTTTATACTTCTGGCATTTATATATTTATAGATAAATTTCTTTATACATTTTGTGTTAGTGTATAGTGCATAATTTTAAGTGTTTCTTAAAGTGTGAAACAAAGTACTTGTTAACTTTGCCAATTTTCAATATTTTAGCTTGTGGTTCAAAAATGTGTTTTTCAATTTCACTCCAGGGAACTAGGCACCACCTACAGTTGATATAATTTTCAATTTGCAATTATACTTCTAAATTTCCATCTTTTATTATCTTTTAAAGTCTGCAGAGAAAAACCTCAAAGATTATTTCAGACTGCAGCAACTGATAGTCACCTATTCAATATCCATTATGCCCTTTATTGAAAATAGATTTCTGATTTGTTCAAGGTGGCAATGTTCCTAGCTAAAAATACTAATTTTCCCAGCCTCCCTTGCATCTAGGTGTGGCTGTGTGACCCATTTCTGACTGATAAGATAGAAGTTTTTTTTTTTTTTTTTTTTTTTGAGATGGAGTTTCACTCTTGTTGCCCAGGCTGGAGTGCAATGGCACGATCTCGGCTCACTGCAACCTCTGTCCCCTGGATTCAAGCAATTCTCCTGTCTCAGCCTCCCAAGTAGCTGGGATTACAGTCATGCACCACCATGCCCAGCTAATTTTGTATTTTTTTAGTAGAGACGGGGTTTCTCCATTGTCGGTCAGGCTAGTCCCGAACTCCCGACCTCAGGTGATCCGCCTGCCTCAGCCTCCAAAAGTGCTGGGATTACAGGCGTGAGCCACTCCGCCCGGCCTAAGACAGAATTTGTTAATGGGGCTCTAGGAAAGATTTTTTAAGAGTCACGGATGACATGATGCTCCTCCCTATTCCCTTTGCCTCTTCTTGCTACTTAGATTTGAGCCATAGAGAAGCAAAATCCATCTTAAAATCTCAAGTATTTTATGTATTGTAGATTTTGGCTCTTTTGGAAATAGCTTATTACAGCTTAATATTTTTTCTATTTTTTAAATAAGACAAATTAGCATGTAGAAGGATGCAGCATTTTTCTAGGTTCTTTACTAAATGTTGGGAAAAAAACTGTCAGAAGGGAATGTGATATTAAAAAGTGGGAAGTAGTCCATTATAATCTTTTTGACTTTTTAAAAAAATTTCTTTGCACCATTCTAGCATGTATAACTGGAAAGCCACAAGTATCTTGCCTTGTTCACTTTTCTGTAGTGTGAAGTAGAGTTAGGATTGCCTTCTGCTATTTTTTAATCATTATGTGGCCTTGATCCAGTTGACTAATCAAGCTAAGCTTCAGTTTCCTCATTTGCAAAATAAGATTAAGTTATTTTCTCATTAATTAGTGAGGAGTAAATGACATACTATAGGTAAATTATATAAATCCCATTAAATCCTAGGGTCTGTGCCTGGCACATGGTAAGATTCAATTACATGTTAACTACTGTTATTGTGGTTGTTATTATTTCTGTTGATATTTATAAATCTCTGTGTTATTAAAGCAGTGAAATGTTTTTGAAATTAAATTTCAGTTGCAGACATTGTTCATAAAAGCAGGAAGAAAACTCTGCAAAGCTAGCAGTGACGGTAGGTCACTGGGGGTGGCTGCCAAGAAGGTACAAAGGACCTCCCACAAAGGGAAAGCTAGTGGCTAAGAACTTTTTCTGACCTTTTTTTTCTCATTACTTTAATGTCACTAGGCCACACATCTCAATACTAAAAACATCTTGATAATTTATTGTTTTTTTGTGTGTCTATTTCCCATCTAACAATATCCCAACCTTATGTATACTAAGCTTTATTGAATTCCTTCTAAGTATTGTCTACATTTGAAAAGATTTTCCCCTGCTCTACTGTAATCTGAGTTGAGCAATCTCACATGCATGTCTGCAGAGCAGGATTTAAGAACTCGTTAGAAATATTAAATCCAGAGGAAAACACAGGTGCAGGACTTCTGGCTTCAATTTCATTTGCATAATAGTAGCTGGGTAATTGAAGCTGTCAGTAGTTACCTGGCTAAATACAAAAGATAAGAACACTGTATTCAAGCATGTTTCTCTAAAAAGTTGAATGAATGTTGTTAACATTTACTAGTAAACACAGGTGTGGAATTCTAGGATTCCTTTTTATAAGTTCTTTTACTGGAATGTTCCAATCTCTTCTTATTTTTGACTCCTCTAGCTAGAAAAAATTTTTTGCCACTAAATCCCTTTTTCTTTTCAGGGTGGGTACCTTTTGCAATTTTAATTATAGAAGAGCCTTAACTGTTGGCAAAACAAAGCTATTTGGTTTCCTGCCTCAGGGAAAGTTTAAAAAAGGATTGCAGAAAATTGTATGCACTAAATATCTAAGATCCAGTTATTTCTCAAAGACATTTAATGTTTGAAAAAAAATTGCAAAGCCCTATGACAATAATTTAGCAATACATATTAAAAGCCTTTTAATGCAAATCAATTTTACATCACTTAGTGTACATGCTCCAAGGATGCTCATCAGAATTATTCATAACAAAAAATACCTGGGAAACCTTCTGCAGTGAAATATAGAATCCCACATATAGTTACATAGTAAGCTGTCCTTTAAAGTAGTGTTGTAAAAAAAACTGTTTCATGGGTATATGATCTGGATCTCTTATGTAAGAAATAAAGACAACAAATATGATAGGTTCATAATATTATGTACAAATAGTGGGAATATACATAAGCATTAATTGGATCCAGTACCATGTTCAGAGTTATCAGGGAACTACTCTGATTATTAGAATAGAACACCATGATTAATTAATGATATCTACCTCTGTAAAGTAAACTAACATCTACCATGCTACATACTTAAGATTCTTGTAAAAAACTGAAAAAGTGATTATTTCTGGGAGGTGGAACTAAAGGGAATTTTATTTTTCTTATTTTTTGCTTATCTTTATTTCTATCTTTGATAAAATCAATTTCTTATTTTTATAACATTGAAAAAGAGCAACAAAATATTTTTAAAGAATCTTTCCTTAAAAGCGTAAGTTATCTACAAATGTAATGAACAGAACTCACTCTGTGGAAAAAAAAAAAAAAAACAACCAAAATTTTCCTATTATATTTTTAAGGTTTGTAAAGTTTAGATAACTTTTACCACATAGTTCTATACAGAGATATTCCATCTCATCTAGCTTTTGGCAATTTATTCTTAGTTATATGTACTTAGATACAATGCACAATTAATCTTGATAATTGGAAACAAAATTCCCTCTTAACATTTTGATAACTTTTTTAGAGCTGAAAAAATTTACTTTTGTTTCATTTATGTACAGAAATGAGAAAACTTAGTGTAGCAGTCAATTGGATATAAAAATAAGATTTTGAATTTTCTACTATATGTTTAAAGTATAAAGACATATGTTTAAAGTATAAAGATACTTTCTTCTTGTTTCAGAAAGTAAATGATAGGCCCATATGACACTAGAAATGTCACTAAAATTGATTTTCATTTATTAACACTTGTATAGGACAAAGATATCTTATGAGTCACAGTGAGATATTATAATGGCATCAGCCAATTTACAGAGTGTAAATGAATTTTCTTGTCAGCATTTTTAATTGTACATATATTTTTCCCTTTTTGTAAAATGTAAGAATAATTGAAATGATTGGGCAATAGGAATACTTGAAGATGAATTTATATAATATGAAAGAATCTTCAAGCTTCTAAATTCTATAGAGTGTTTACTTGATTTCTGAATAATAAAAGTAATAAAGATTAAAAGAGAACTGTCATTTCACCCTTGTATGACAGAGAGGAGAGACTCGGAGTTTAGCAATTTGTGTGTGTGTGCCTATTCCATTAAGAAGAATCATCTTCAATCTGGGTAGGACAAAGCACCCATCATAAAAATATAATAAAATAAGTGGGAAACTAGTTCCCGCTTCTCAGACCTAGCAACTTACCTGATAGGAAGTTACACAGAATGATCATTTTGTTTTCAGAGTTCTTTAGAATGGGAAAAATACCATGATACCTGAAAGGGGACCCTTCCCTCATTTTCCCAATGGGAAAAATATTTAATTTCACACTAGAACTGAAGAGCTTCAATTAGCCGGGCGTAGTGGCGGGCGCCTGTAGTCCCAGCTACTTGGGAGGCTGAGGCAGGAGAATGGCGTGAACCCGGGAGGCGGAGCTTGCAGTGAGCCGAGATCCCGCCACTGCACTCCAGCCTGGGCGACAGAGCGAGACTCCGTCTCAAAAAAAAAAAAAAAAAAAAAAAAAAAAAAGAACTGAAGAGCTTCATATCACTCTCTAGCCATGTTTCTGGATGGATAAATAAACAGCTGATTGGTGAACGTTTAGTGGAGAGAAGACATTAACATTAAAAGAGAACCTAGATTCTCAGGTACAGAAATCTCAAAAAACTCTCTTCCTGTTTTTGATAAATTTACTAGCTTGGCAGTCACCCATTTGCTTTGTGCTTTAACTGGGTATGACTGAACCTTGCTCATGCCTTAGGCAATTAAGTAAAAATAGCTTTTGGGTTTGTTAAGATCAGTATGTGTCAATAGCATGGTGTAATTATTTAGAAGTGTAAAGCACAAATTATCCTTGTATCCTCAGTTGGCCACCTCTAGAGTATAGTGCTAGAATGTGAAAACTATATTTTGTAGAAAATACACTCTAATTGTAGCATATTCAAAGGAGGATCATCAAGCTAGGGAGAGATCTAGAACCACTGTGTGTGTTGAAGATGTTAAAGAACTGATAATATTTAACATAAAGAGGTGAAGACTAAGGAGGTCACATAATAGCTATCCACAAATAGTTGAAGATCTGTCTGATGGTTAACATAATTTTGAGGCTTAAGAAAATAGGAGAAGCAGTGGGTGGTAGTTATATGGTGGATATTTCACCTCAGTGAAGGAATCATTTTATAATAATTAGAACTGCTCAGTAATGGGATAAAGTGCCTTTAAAAATCCCCTACCATTGAAAATATTTCAGTAGGATCTGAATTACTGCCTTTCAAGAAAGTCACTAAGTGGTTTCCAGTAGTGGATAGGAACCCTTATATGCTCTGATTTAATAAATCTGTGATTTGTCTCTACATCTGTGTAATTACTCAATCAGTAACTCTAAATCATAGTATATACGTATCGTTTGAAAGCAATCTTGAGCAAAAGGAACAAAGCTGGAGGCGTCACATTACCTGACTTCAAAATCTACTACAAAACTAATAGCCATGAAAGTGGCATGATGCTACCATAAAAACAGATATAAAAATCAATGGAAGAAAATGGAGAGGCCAGAAATAAATCCCCACATTTACAGTCAATTGATTTTCAACAAAGGTGCCAAGAACATACAGGGAGGAAAGGGTGGTCCCTTCAAAGAATGTTGGCAAGAAAACTGAATACCCACAGAAGAATGAAAATGGACTGTCATCTCACATCATGTAACAAAAATCAACTCAAAATGAAATAAGACTTAAATTTGAGACCTGTAACCATAAAATGGTTCAAAGGAAACATAGATAACAGGCTTCTTTACATTGGTCTGGGCAATGAATTTTTTGGATATGACCCCTAAAACCCAGGCAGCAACAGCAAAATAAACAAGTGGGATTGCAGCTTCAGCACAGCAAAGAAAATCAACATAGTAAAGAGACAACCTACAGAATGGGAGAATGGGAGAAAATGGTTGCAAACCATACATCTGACAAAGGATTAATATATAAGGAACTCAAACACTTCAGTTGCAAGGAAAGGAAACATATAACCTGGTTAAAAAATGAGCAATGGAACTAAATATTTTTCAAAGGAAGATATACAAAAGCCAACAGGAATAAAAATGCTCAACATCATTAATCATCAGGGAAATGCAAATTAAAAGGTCAATGTAGTATCGCTTCACAACTGTAGAATGGCTGTTTTTGAAAAACAATAAGTATTGATGAGGATGTAGAGAAAAGGGAACCCTCATTCACTGTTGGTGAGAATATAAATGGGTACAGCCATTATTATCAAAAATATTATAGAGGTTCCTCAAAAAAATTAAAGATAGAACTACCATATGTTCCAACAATTCACTTCTGGGAATATGTCCAAAGGAAATGATATCAATGTCAAAGAAATGTCTCCATCCCCATGTCTACTGTAGCATCATTCATAATAGCCAAGCTGTGGAATCAACCTAAGTGTCCACCAGTGCATGAATAAATAAAGAAAATGTGGTGTATACATACAACAGATTACTATTCAGCCTTAAGAAAAGAAAATCCTATCATTTGCAACAACACGGATGAACCAGAAGGGCATTATGTTAAGTGAAATAAGCCAGACACAGAAAGGCAAATACTCTGTGATCTCAGTCATATGTGGAATCTAAAAGAGTTGAGCTTGTAGAACAGAGAGTTGAATGGTGGTTGCTGGACACTGAGGTGGGAGGGATAGGGAGATGTTAGTTAAAAGGTATGAAGTTTCAGTTAGGATGAATAAATTGTGGAGATCCATTGTATAGCATGGTGACTATAGTTAATAATGTATTGTAGACATGGACGTTGCTAAGAGATTAGATCTTAAATGTTCTCTCCAAAAAAAAAATAGGTGATGTGATGAATATATTAATTAGCTTGATTTAACCATTTCCCAAAATGTACATATATCAAAACATCATGTTCTATGCTGAAAATGTATAAAATTTTTGTCAAAAATAAAATATTTTAACTACTCTGAAATCTGTCATATGAAGACTGCAGTCATGTGCCACATAATCATCTTTCAGCCAATGATGGACTGCATAAACCATGGCCCATAAGATCATAATGGAGCTGAAAAATTTGTCTCCTGGTGACATCGTAGCTATTGTAACATAGCTATTGTAACATTGCAGCATTACTCAGGTGTCTGTAAGTAAGTTTGTAGGTGTAACAAACCTGCATTGCTAGTTATTTCAAAAGTAAAAATAAAAATTAAATCTTAAAAAATACATAAAGTCTTATAGAAAGAAAAATATTTTTGTATTTTTGTACAATGTTTGTCTTTTAAGCTCAGTGTTATTTAAAAAGAGTTAAAAAGTTTTAAAAATATAAGTTAAAAAGTTATAGCAAGCTAAGGTTAATTTATTATTGAAGAAATAAAAATTTAAAAATAAATCTAGTATAGCTTAACTGTACAGTGTATGTAAGTCTAAGTATTATACAAGAATATTTCTAGGCCTTCACATTTACTCACCACTTACTCACTCACTGACTCACCGAGAGCAACTTCCAGTTCTATAAACTTCATTAATGGTGAGTGCCTTATGCAGGTGTACCATTTTTTATCTTTTATACTGTGTTTTTACTGTACCTTTTATAAGTTTAGATATGTTTAAATACATAGATACTTACCTTTGTGTTAAAATTGCCTCCAGTATTTCAGTACAGTAACATGCTGTAGAGGTTTGTCGCCTAGGAGAAACAGGCTATACCCTGTAGCCTAGGTGTGTAGTAGGCTATACCATCTAGGTTTGTATAAGTGCATTCTATGATGTTTGCATGATGAACTTGCCTAACTCTGCGTTTCTCAGAATATATACCCGTAAAGTGATGCAAGACTGTATTTCATTAACCAAAATTAGTAAAAGAATGCTACATCTTCCCCAACTCTCAGATTAAGCTACTTTAAAACTTGTTTTATGAACAGTAAAGTTAACATTTCTTGTGAATTCCTTAATAGGTTTTTAGTTGGCTTTCCAGCTCCAAAGACATCTTTACACTCAGGAGTTAATTTTAAAGATTAATAGTGATTTCCTCAGGGAAGTATGCAATTTGTTCCACTAAATTAAATTAATTGAAACAATTTCCACTAGTAAAAGTATCTCATTTACCTAGTAGATATATTGGTCATTTTTCACGTTTGTAGCTATACAACATTTGGAATACCCACCTTATATTTGGAGAGTTCCTCAGGTTATACATCTTGCCTTCCTGTTCTAAAATTTATACCCTGTATTTTGTTTTAATCAAGTATAAAACAGTGTCAAACGTGGAGACAACTGCCTTTTGAAAGAAGAATTAATTGCTTACATTTCCCAGGAGAAGGGGACATGTCATGCCACACAGAACCACATGAGGAAGCACCAGGTTCGTCAGGAGGCAGGAGCAGGAATGAAGGGACAGCATGGCCCAGAGCATTTATTGTGTTTTTCATGGGAAAGTCAAGGCAGGGGAGGAGAAACAGCTTAGGATTGGCTAGTTTGAATAATGCCAATGGGCTCTGGGCTGTAGGGCCTTTAGTTTTCTGGTACTTGGCTCTGGGTGATTTAGGCTGATTGTGGGTAGAGGTGATACTGGCTTAGCGTGTGAGAGTTAAATACAGGAAGCAGGTAGTGGGTATGGAGTTGGAATTTGTTGGAGAATTTGTAATATGATTTTCATACTACTGCTAAAGCTGGATAATAGAAGAGATGTAAACAACCTTAGCAATTAGCTTGGCCCTGTGATTAATGGATGCCAAGTAGAAAAATATAGAATCTAAGAAAACACATTTTGAACACCTCCCCAAAGTAGAAAATAAAGGTTATTCTCCTAGCCTGTCTTGCTGCCAGGACATAAAGATATGACTGTAGTGTGAATAATCAATGCATTTGCAGGAGATTTGGATTTAGAGGTGTCCAAGATGAGGGAAGCAAGCCGACTGAGAATGCTTCTTTTGGTTAGCAGAGCATTTAGCTCCTGGGGCCAGCAGGAGAGAATCTGAAATCTAGTTTTAGTATTTTGTGTAAAAACTGTGGAGTCTGTAAAAGCTGCGCTGTCTTAGTCAAGTGCACAGGCAATTGTGTTTTTGCCAAAGGAATTAATTCAGTATAGCTGAGCATTTTCTAAATGCTGTCGCTTGTGAGTCTAGCTTTCTGGCCTTCTTGGAAGTTTTGTGAACTCCTTAAGGTGTTTCAATAAGTTTCCTTTATGCTTAACCTATTCAGAGTAGATTCTGTTGTTTAAGAACATTGAGGTATGCAGTGAATTTCTGGAGTCTAATTTTTCCTGAATTTCATTTTAATAAACAGAGGACAGGCAATAGATGAAAATATTCTTTAACCATTTTAGGATTAATGAAACGTTCCTAGTTTGAGAAATCAGTAGCTATTCTATTGTTTGATGAAGTAAAGAAATTGTAAGCAGGTTCAGTAAATAATGTTACAAGAGTACATTAATTCATTACCCCAAACAAGGGCAGAAAACAACAGTAGGCAAATTAGCTTGTAAACTACAATGATAAATGTAGAATTTTATGACTATTCTGATGACACAGAGAGATTTACAGGAAAATGATTCTTTATAATGAGCCCCTTTAGCTAGAAACCAAAACAAAGTCTGTTTGCACATAAAAAGAGGAAAGGCAGAGTTGGTGATCATATGTCAGGATATCCAGCGTGTTTCTACACATGGATAGCAAGTTAAAAAACCTCTCATTCCAACCAGAAGGATGAAGTATATATATTTTCCATGTGTAGGTTTTATTTTCATGATCTAAAGTAAATATTGTATATTTTAAGATGTAGAAATAATGAAGAACTCTTAGTATGTCACAAATGCCACCAAGTATTTATTTCTTATATCTTATAACAAACCTTTGTAGTGATTAGCAGGAACTATCTAACAAACCCTTTCAACTTTTGTGAAACTCTCATCTGTTCCTTTGATGGGGATTTTTTATTCTTGATAATTACCAGAGCCTCTAACCACAAAGAAGGATCAGAGAAGCAGATGACTCAATTCTTACCCCGATCTCTGTGTCTTATTCAAATTAAAACCTTGCTACAAAAAGAGAAATTTGCTTCCCCTAAGACATTTAGTAATATATTTTTCGTTTTACAAGAAATATAATGGAGATACTATTTTATGTGATTTAGACATATGAACAGAAAATAAGTGTTTCATATGACAGTGAAGATAACTGTGAGAAATACCATACGTAAAGATTTTTCCGACTCCTTAGACATTGCAGAAGTATAATTTCTCTGTTTATGTGAACTCCATATAAACATTGTTAAGTTTATTTGAACTCTTTGTTTCCATGTTGCTTCATTGTGGTTAGTAATTCCGATCATTGTATGAATTAAGCATTTCTTCAAAGAAACAGATGGGTTACTTCAATCAAAGTTTTAAATGTGTTAAAGACCTATATATGCATATATGTACAAGAACCTTAGGATATTTTTGATGCAGTATTATATATCATTTTATATAGGATTATTTGGTACTCAGTGTATATCACAGATTTTACCAAATTCCTTTAATTATCTGTTTGATGTTTTATCTTCCCCCATTGCATTTGTAGCTCTTTAAGGATGAGACCTACATAGTCTTATATTTCTATCTTTAGTCCTATCTGAGTAACTGATGCAGTAGGTACTTCATAAATTAATTTATTCTGTTCACAAACATTCACTTTGCTACTTATTGGGTATACAGAGTTCAGCAAGATATTCTTGCTCTCACTAGATTCAGCTTAGTGAGGAGAATAGACATTTAATAATTAAACACAAAGATAAATGTTATAAGTGCTATAAAGAAAAAGAAAAGGATCCAATGAATTTATGGGAAATGTAAAATAATGTTGTAGGAGTTTCAAGTTGTTTACCTATTACCATAGTACTAGGCCATTATTGAGCCGTTACCGTGCATGAACAAAGGTATCAAGGACATTAGGTATATCTCCCAATGCTAAAACTTAAAGTATAATAATTAAAAAAAAAAAGGTATCAAGGACAGAAGGCATATTCATAAGAAAAATAAGAAAATCCAAAGTAGTTTGCTTGTTGAGTCTGCTCACTCTCTCTAGTGCCTTGGCGCATGCTTGGCTTTTTCTTTTGCCCTTGTTCATCAGACTTCAGGTTCTTCAGCCTTTGGACTCTGGGACTTGCACCAGCAGCCTCCCAGCGGCTCTCAGGCCTTCAATCTCTGACTGAGGGCTGTACTGTTGGCTTTCCTGGTTTTGAGGTTTTTGGATTTGGACTGAACCCTGCTACCAGCTTTTTTCTTTACTTAGTTTGCATACAGCCTATCATGGGACATCACCTTGTAATCATCAGGCTTGAGAAAATATGGCCATTTAATGCAGCCAGGAAGAATTTCTCCTACTGAGACAGACCAGAATATCGAGTAAACTGTCATACTCTTAACAGACCATCTGAGAGAACCCACTGAGAGAGGTTAGATAAATGATCCAGATGTTGGTACTGAAGGAGGAGGAAACCAAGAATGCTCCACAGGGTTGCGGAGTACCAGAATGCATTCCAAGCCCTGAACAACTCCTGTGGAAGAGGTGGCTCTGACCTATGTTAGCTGCCAGACCTGGAGAGAGCAGGGCTGTCTTTCTCACGGGACCAGGGCAAGTCTGATCTGCACTCCCTGCTCTCTGCCAGTCCCTTCCAGAGTCTCTGCCTGGCTGTGCATTCACACAGTGTAGCCTCACCTACCCTGCCAGAGCACTTTTACCAGTGGCCATTGCCATAGTTTTTTTTTTTTGCCAGAGGCCACTACCATACCACTGGAGTGCTTTTACTGATAGCCTCCTGCCAGAATGTTTGCGTGTGACCCTGCTGCTGCCCCTTTGGAGCATATTTGCCTATGGTGCCCCTGATGCCCCACCAGAGTGCTTCTCACCTGCATGCCCCTGCTGCCCCTGCTGGAGCACTTACGCCCACAACCAAGCATCCCCCACCATCCCTTACAGAGTGCTGTTGCCAGTGGCCTAGGAGCACCTCAAACCCTCCAGCCCAGCCAGGGCTCAACCTCAAGGTACCAGGGGACAAAGTTACAGACCTGGTCCCAGCCACCTAGGGTTAGAGCACACAGTTCACCAGTGCAGAGCTTTGCCTGGAATCTCTGAAAGTATCTAGAAACAGTCATTCAACTACACGCAACTGGCACCACAGTCAAATGCTCAAGGCAATAATGATCACAAAAACAAAAGCCCTATCCAAAGGACAGCAACTTCAAAGTGTAAAGGAACATCAGCCCTCATAGGTGAGAAAGAACTAGTGCAAGAACTCTGGCAACTCTAAAAGCCAGAATGTTTTCTTACCTCCTAATGATTATACCAGCTCCCCAGCAATGATTCTTAACCAGATTGAAATGGCTAAAACGTCAGACACAGAATTCAGAATCTGGACAGCAAGGAAGTCCATTAAGATATAAGAGGAGGTTGAAACCCAATCCAGGGAAAGCAGTAAAATAACCTAAAAGTCAAAAGATGACATAACCATTCTAAGAAAGAACCAAACTGAAGTTAGGGAAATTAGAAATTTGACACAGGAATTTCAAAATACAATAGGAAGCATCAACAACCAAATAGACCAAACCGACGAAAGAATCTCAGACTCTGAAGATCACTCCTTCAAAGCAACACAGGGAGACAACAATAATTTTTTAAAATGAACAAAACTTCTAAGAATATTGGAGTTATGTAAAGAGAAGAATCTTATCGTTCTGCATTCCTGCAAGAGAAAAGGAGAGAGCAAGTAACTTGGAAATTATATTTGAGAATAAAGTCCATGAAAATTTTCCCAATCTCACTAGAGAGATTAACATGCAAATTCAAGAAATTCAGAGAACCCATGTGAGATACTATGCAAAACAACCATCCCCAAGACACACAGTCATCAGTTTTCCATGGTCAGTGGAAAAGAAAAAAAATCTTAAAGGTCTTAAGACAGCTAGAGAGAAGGGTCAGGTCACATACAAAGGGAACCCCATCAGGCTAACTAACAGAAGATGTTTCAGTAGAAACATTACCAGCTAGAAAAGACTGGGGGCCTATTTTCAGCATCCTTAAAGCAAAGAAATTCCGACCAAGAATTTCATATTCTGCCAAACCAAACTTTATAAGCAAAGGAGAAATAAAATCCATTTCAGACAAGCAAATGCCAAGGGAATTTGTTACCACTACACCTGCTTTACAAGAAGTCATAAAGGGAATACTAAACATAAAAATGAAAGAACAATACCTGCAACCACAAAAACATACTTAAGGGAATACCTCATTGGTACCATAAAGCAACTGTTCAATCAAGTCTACATAACAACTGGCTAACAGCATGATAACAGAATCAAATCCTCACATATCAATGTCATATAGCTCTTTACATTTGGAACACAAACAGGCCAAATGCCCCACTTAAAAGTCATAGAGTGGCAAGTTGGATAGAGAAACAATACCCAATTGCCTGCTGTCTTCAAGATAACTCATCTCACAAATATGACATCCTTAGGCTGAAAGTAAAGAGATGGAGAAAGTTCTGTCAGGCAAATGGAAAACAAAAAAGAACAGAGATTGCTATTCTTATGTCAGATAAAACAGAATTTAAACCAACAATGATCAAAAAGGACAAAGAGCATTACATAATAATAAGGGGCTCAATCCAACAGGAAGATGTAACTATCCTAAATATATATGCACCCAACATCGGAGCACCCAGATTCATAAAATAAGTTCTTAAGAGGACTATGAAGAAATGTAGGCAACCACACAATAATGTTGGAGGACTTCAACACCCAATGACAGTGTTAGATATTATTGAGGCAGAAAAGTAACAAAGATATTCTGGACTTAAACTCAATATTTGACCAACTGGACCTCCTAAACATCTATACAACACTCACCCAATAACAACAGAATATGCATTCTTCTTATGTGCACATGGCACATACTCTAAGATCAATCATATGCTTGGCCATAAAGCAAGTCTCAACAAATTAAAAACAAATGAACTAATATCAACAACATTCTTAGACCACAATGCAATAAAAGTAGAAATCAATACCAAGAAGATCTACCAAAACTGTACAATAAAGTTAAAAAATCTGCTTCTAAATGGGTTTTGGGTAAGAAAATTAACACAGAAATCAAGAAATTCTTTGAAACTGAAAAAACAGATGCAACATAAAAGAATCTTTGGGACACAGCTAATGCAGTGTTAAGAGGAAAGTTTACAGCACTAAACACCTATGTTAAAAAGTTGGAAAGATCTCAAATTAACAACCTAAAGTTGCACAGAGAGGAACTAGAGAAACAAGACCAAAACAACTCTAAGGCTAACAGAAGAAAATAAATAACCAAAATCAGAGCTGATCTGAATGAAATTGAGATGGGAAAATTCATACAAAAGATCAATGAAACTAAAAGTTGGTTTATTACAAACCACCCTACAGAAGAAAAAAAAACCCTCAGACTATTACAAACATCTCTGTGCTTACAAATTCGAAAACCTAGAAGAAATTGAAGTCCTGGAAACACAAAGCCTCTCAATATTGAACCAGAATGAAATTAAAATCCTGAACAGACCAATAATTTGTTCTGAAATTGAATCAGTAATGAAAACCTTATCAACCAAAAAAAGTCCTGGACCAGATGGATTCAGGCAAATTCTACCAGATTTACAAACAAGAGATAGTACCATTTCTACTAAAACCATTGCAAAAAATCAAGGAGGAGGGACTCCTCTCTAACTCATCCTCTGAAGCAAGCATCATTCTGATACCAAAGCCTGACAGAGACACAATGAAAAAGAGAAAACTTCTGGTCAAAATCTCTGATAAACATAGATGCAAAAATGCTCAACAAAATACGATTAATAGTAAACTGAATCCAGCAGCACATCATAAAGCTAATCTACCACAATCGAGCAGGCTTTACTCCTTGGATGAAAGATCGGTTCAGCATACACAAATCAATAAATGTGATTCACCACATAAACAAAATTAATAACATAGACTACATGATTATATCAATAGACACAGAAAAGACCTTTGGTAAAATTCATCCCTCAGTGAGAAACCCTTAACAATTAGTCATTGAAGGAACATATCTCAAAATAATAACAACCATCTCTGACAAGCCCACAGCCGGTGTCACACTAAATGGGCAAAAGCTGGAAACATTAACCTTGAGAACTGGAGCATGACAAGGATGCCTACTCTCACCACTCCCATTCAGCCCCACATAGACCCTACCAGAAGGCTTTTAGGACTGATAAACAACTTCAGTGAAGTTTCAGGGTACAAAATCAGTGTACAAAAATCAGTAGCATTGCTATACACCAATACTATTCAACCTCAGAGCCACATCAGCAATGCAATCTCATTTACAATAGCCACAAAAAAGAATAAGATACCTAGTAATGCTGCTTACCAAGGAGGTGAAAACTCTCTACAAGCAGAATTACAAAACACTGTTGAAAGAAAGAAGAGATGACACAAATGAATAGAAAAGCATTCCATGTCCATGGATAGTGATATAGTTTGAATATTTTCCACATCCAAATCTCATGTTGAAATGTAATCCCCAATGTTGAAGGTAGGACCTGGTGGGAGGTATTTGGGTCATGGGGCAAATCCATCATGGCTCAGTGCTGTCCTCATGATAATGAGTTCTTGTGAGATCTGGTTGTTGTAATGTGTGGCACTTCACTCCTACTCTCTCTTGCTCCTGCTTTTGCCACGTGAAATGCTTGCTCCCACTTTGCCTTACACCATGAGTAAAAGTTCCCTGAGACTCTCTCAGAAGCTGAACAGATGACAGCACCATGTTTGTACAGCCTGCAGAACATGAGTCAATTATACCTCTTTTCTTTGTAAATTGCTCGGCCTCATGTGTTTCTTTATAGCAATGCAAGAATGGTCTAACATAGATAGGAAGAATCAATATTGTTAAAATGGCCATATTGTCTGGAGCAATTTATAGATTCAATGCTATTCCAGTCAAACTTAAAACTTCATTTTTCACAGAATTAAAAAAAAATTATTCCAGAATTCATATGGAAGCAAAAAGAGCTCAAATCACCAAAGCAATTCTAAGCAAAAAGAACAAAGCCAGAGGCATAACACTACCTGACTTCAAACTATAGTACAAGGCTAACAACCAAAATAGCATGGTACTCATATAAAAACAGACACACAGACCAATGGAAAAGGATAGGGAGCCAAGGAATAAAGCCACACACCTACAACCAGCTGATATTTGACAGAGTCAACAATAACAAACAATGAGGAAAGGACTTCTAATTCAATTCAGCTGTTATTCAATAAATGGTAGCCATATGCAGAAGATTGAAACTGGACCCCTTCCTTTCACCATATATAAAATTCAACTCAAGATGAATTAAAAATTTAAATGTAAGACCTAAAAGAATTTAAAAAATCCCTAGAAGAATACTTAGCAGATACCATTCTGGACATCAGCAAAGAGTTTATGACTAAGTCCTCAAAAGCAATTGCAGTAAAAACAAAAATTGACAAGTGTGACCTAATTAAATTAAAGAGCTTCCGCACAGCAAAAGAAACATCAACAGAGTAAAAAGACAGCCTACGGAATGAGAGAAAGTATTGGCAAACTAAGCATCCAACAAAGGTCTAGTAGCCAGAATCTGTAAGGAACTTAAACAAATCAGCAAGCAAAAAACCAATAACCCCATCAAAAAATGGGCTAAGGACATGAACAGACATATCTCAAAGAAAAAGACATACAAACCGCTAACAAATACATGAAAAAATGTTTGTCATCATTAATCATTAGAGAAATGCAAATTAAAACCACATGAGATACCATTTCACACCAGTCAGAATACCTATTGTTAAAAAGTCAAAAAACAAGATTTTGGCAAGGTTGTGAAGAAAAGGGAACACCTATACTCTGCTGGTAAGAATGTAAATTAGTTTAGCCACTGTGGAATACAATTTAGTGATTTCACCAAGAACTTAAAACAGAACTACCATTTGACCCAGCAATCCCAGTATTGGGTATATACCCAAAGGAAAATAAATTGTTCTATCAAAAAGGCACACGCCCTTGTGTGTTCATTGCAGCACTGCTCACAATAGCAAAGACATGGAATCAACCAAGACGCCTATCAATGGTGAACCAGATAAAGAAAATATGGTAAATATACACTGTGGAATACTTAGCAGCCGTGAAAAAGAATGAGATCATGTCCTTTACAGCAACATGGATGTATTAATAGCTGGAGGCCATTATGCTAAGTGAACTAATGCAGGAACAGAAATTCAAATACCTTATGTTCTCAAGTATAAGTGGGAGCTAAACATTTTACAGACATGGACCCAAAGATGGAAACAATAGGTACTAGGTAGGGACAGCTTGAGGTAGGAGGATATGAGGCGGGCATAAATTGGAAGTGCACATATCAGGTACTATCCTCGCTACCTTGGCGATGGGATTATTCGTATGTCAAGCCTTAGTGACATGCAATTTACCCAGGTAATTGCACATGTACCAACTGAACCTAAAATAAAAGAGAACCCATTATAAAACATGAGAGCTAGGCTTTTAAAATATCTGCCTACATAACAGATATAAGAAGCTCAGGTTCTATGAATGCAGTATATTTTGGTCTTATTCCAGTGAGGTTACTGAGGCTCCTCCATCCTCCTATCTCCCTGTATGTGTTTGCATGTGTTAGGACTCTGATCAGGGTATGATGATTTGCTCAACTCATGTACCCTCTAACTTTGCTATCTTCTATAATAAAATTTAGTTTTTATATGCTGTATTGTCAGGTTCTATAATTGTCTTTCGTGGAAATTGTATAATTGTATACAGTGCAGCCTGATTTAGAATGTTGGTCAGTAAGGGCTTTATGAGGACATGACATTAAAAGAGAAATTACAGAAAAGCAGGAGTTAGGGAGACAAAAAAAATTCCAGGTAGCGTTTTCAGCAAAGAAAATAACTTATAGGAAGACCTAAGGTGGGAAAAATCATCACATGTTTCAAGCACTGTATGCATAGTCAGTGTGGGAGGAGAGTAGTGAGAGGAAGAGAGTGGCAAGAAATGTCTAGCAAAATCTATTAAGACAGGTTTGTGATTTTTGTATTTTTTCTAAGCACTATGAGAAATAATTGATTAAAATGGTTTAATCAAGAAAGTAACACACACACACACACAATTTTTAAACTATTCTGGCTTCAGTAAGGAAAATTGATTGGAGAGTAAATTTGGAGACACTCGCTAAGATGCTATTATAATAAACATAAATGATGATGATGGTTTGGGTTTAGAACAGTGGGAGAAATGATAGAAGAAATCGAATGGATTGTAGATATATTATAGATGGAAACTTAGGACTTGGTGAAGAGTGAAAAAGAAGGCAGTATCAATCAAACTATTGGAATGTTTACCACAACTTTTAAAAAGATATATTCTGCAGTTTACTTCTTACACATGTTAACAGATGTTCTCTGAAAAGACAAGAGTGATTCTATGGTTAAGTAAATTTTAGAAACACTGGGTTAAGAGAATTAAAGAGCGTCTTCACTATAAAACATTTCAGTGCCTTAAATATGCTGCTGTGCATTGTGGATTTTCAACAGGGTAACTGTGGACACGTTTTTGATGAAGTTCTTGTAGGCCCAGACTTCTACTGAACATACTTTGTGAGTTGCTGCTTAAAGGAGTAAATGATCTCTAATAGAAAAGTATTTAATTGTTCATATTAAATACTGTATTTGAATGAATTCTTTTTTTATTCGATTGAGCATACTCATGTATTTTATAAATTAAGAAGATATTTTTAAAAATCCAATGCAAAATATAATTTTTGATACATACATTAAACACAGTTTATTTATATTTTATAAAATTCACTTTCATTGTTACAAGGTAAAAGGAAAATATGAAAATTTTTCTACAGAAATTACTTTGTCAAATTTTTTCTCTGTTCACTCAAACTTCTTAAATGTTATCAGTTTATGAAATAACATATTGACTTTTATATTAGGTTATGTTATAAATTAAAGTATTAAACTATCCCCAAAATATCTTTGTACTTCTAATATTTTTAATATTTAAATATTTTATGATTATTGTATATGATTATAGGGATTAAAAAATGCAGCCACCTAAATTTTCATACAATACACCTCTAATCTGTCCATTACTATAGATTTTATTTATCAATTCCACAATCATTTATTGAGCTCAAACATGTACTAGGCATGTTGGCATATAAAATCGTGAATAAGACCTGTGAATTATGTTACATCTAGTAAACATTTAGTTAATACTAGTATTTGTTGATTGATATGAAGTGCAGGTTATCTCGTTTTATTGCGATTGCATCAACTGAGTCCTGGGTCACTATATGCAACTCTTCAACCTCTCTTCCCTATATTTAAATACACCTTTATCTACATATGTTTGACTGATCTGATATAGACAAATTATGCATTTTATAGCCAAGTCTCAACTTCAGTCTTAAATGTCTTTAGATATTTGGTTGGGTAATATCATCTTCTTGTTTAAGTGATTATAAGTGGGTTTTAGTTTCTTATTTACTGTTAAGAATTAGTTATATTGAAAATGATGTTAGAGTTTGTCACTGATTCTTCTTCATTCCCCACCATTTTAATCCTGATGTTAACAATGTTTCTAATTTAACTTTCTATGTGATTCAGGGAGTAGCTATATATATATATAACTTACAATATTTTCTAAGTACTTAAAGGTATTAACTCAAAACACACACACACACACACACACACGCACACACACACACGCATACACATGCATAGTCCTAAATATGAAATCTGAAAAACAAAAATTGCCTCTTCATATATACCAAACTATGCTATAACTGCTTAAGGAGAGCCTTTCAGTTACATTGTCTTCCTTTCCTGAAAGTAATGGGTTTTACAAACTTAGCAGAAAGCTGATAAAGAAACTTAAAAAAATATATTGTTAAAGATGGATAATTGACATGGGCCATGCTGCTGGTAGCTCAGTTAACTGTTTGAAACATTCATGCCAATATTTGGTCAGGTGTGGACTTTCAGTGTAAGCCAAAACTCTGATAACCATGAAAACTGTTCAACTAAAGTATATAAGCAACAATAATATTTTTAAAAATCATTTAGTCTGTGGAGTTTCAAATATCATATAGTAAGTGTAGCTTTGACAATTACTTGTTAATTTTATTAAACAATAAAATATGCCATATTAGGGTTCTTACAACGGTATTTGTGGTACATTAGATTATGTAGGTAACAATCACATTTTTATAGTCAGTGTTTCAGCTGACAACAATGTCAAAATGATTAACAGCCTACACTTTAGAAAATAACTTCCTAATGCAATTGTTTCTTGTAAAGGATAGGACATTTTTAAAGTTCTTTTGGAAATAAAATACATTATAGAAAGATAGAGGTAAAAATGCATGAGAGAAAGATATTTAGACGTAAATGAAATATATTTATTATGATAACATGTACATTGTTATTTCTAATTCATATACTATATTCAAAGTCCAGATATCAACTAAGTCTACTGTAAATAGTAAGATATATAATAGTACCATGGTTCTAGAAAACATTTTTTTCCTTGAAATGAGTTTTAGTTATATACATGGAAATATATTTGTATAATTTGTCTAATATTGGAGCTGAGATTTCTTCATATGACTAAGACTTTAATTTTTGTGTATAAAAGCTTTCCATGTAAGTGATATATCTATGATTTTTTTTTTTTTTAATGGAGACTCGGTCTATCACCAGGCTGGAATGCAGTGGTGCAATCTGGGCTCACTGCAACCTCCGCCTCCCAGGTTCAAGTGATTTTTCCTGCCTCAGCCTCCCGAATAGCTGGGACTACAGGCACGTGCCACCATGCCCAGCTAATTTTTGTATTTTCAGTAGAGACAGGGTTTCACCATGTTGGCCAGGATGGTCTTGATCTCTTGACTTCCTGGTATCTGCCCGCCTTGTCCTCCCAAAGTGCTGGGATTACAGGCGTGAGCCACCATGCCCGGCCCGAAAGCTTTTAAAAGAGCTGAAACTATTAATTTATTTAAGATAAAAGCATTCTATGCCTTTGAATTATGTGTTTAAATACAAATGGTCAAAGAATAGAAGGTAGTTTGTTTTCTTTATTGGGACAATATAACTGATAAGTACTGCCTGGTGACATCTACTAATAGAGAATATTAATATATCACTGGTTTAAATGGGAAACATAGTACTAATCAACTGAAGTTACCATATATGATTTCTTATGTGATTGGGAAATTGTAAATAGATCATATTTTTTGCAAATTAGAGTGTCTTCAAGTGGAAATGAAAAAGAAAAATGTCTTTTCCGTGGCCTCGACCTGTTAAATGTTTTCATAGAACAGATGTAACTGTGCCAGTAACCCTGAGCCAGCCAGGTGAAATTCTCAACTGGAATTGCATGTGCCATCATGCTTTTATTGGAAATGAGTGGTTTATTTTATTATCTAGACTTTAAAGTCTCCTAATATATCTTATAAGTTTTTGCATGGTTCAAAAAATTACAAAGAAAACTGTAGAGAGGAAAATGATTATGGAAAAAGAAAAATGTTTTGCTAACATGAAAGATGACTTTACAAAGATTTAAATATATTTTGAATAAGAGGTTATTACTACACCAGTAGTTTGGGGTTTCTTTTCAGAGATAGAGTCTTGCTCTGTCACTCAGGCTAGAGCGCAATGGCATGAGTATAGCTTACTGCAGCCTCATACTCCTTCACTCAAGCAGTCCTTCCACCTCAGCCTCTCAAGTAGCTAAGACAACAGGCATGTGCCACCATGTCCAGCTAATTTTTAAAGTTTTTAGAGATGGGGGCGCTCACTATGTTTTCCAGGCTGGTCTTGAACTCCTGGCCCCAAGTGGTTCTCCTACCTTGGCCTCCTTAAGTGCTGAAATTATAGACATTGGCCACTGCACATAGCCAATAGGTTTATTTTTTTTTTTTAAAGTTTTATTTTAGATTTGGGATACACATGAAGGTTTGTTACATAGGTAAACTTCTGTCATGGAAGTTTGTGGTACAGATTATTTTATTACCCAGGTATTAAGCTGAGTGCCCAATAGTTATCTGCTTCTCTTCTTCCTCCCACCCTCCACCCTCAAGTAGACCCCAGTGTCTATTGTTCCTTTCTTTGTGTTCATGAGTTCTCATACGCACTAATAAATGAGAACATGCAGTATTTGGTTTTCTGTTGCTGCAGTAGTTGGCTAAGGATAATAGCCTCCAGCTCCATCCATGTTCCCACAAAAGACAGGATCCCATTCTGTTTTATGGATGCATAATATTCCTGGGTGTATAGGTACCAAATATGTACCAAATTTTATCTATCCAATCTGTCATTGATAGGCATTTAGGTTGATTCTGTGTCTTTGCTATTGTGAATAGTGCTGCAGTAAAAACACTGTCGTGTGTGTGTCTCTATGGTAGAATGATTTATATTCCTCTGAGTATATACCCAGTAATGGGATTGCTGAGTTGAATGGTAGTTCTGCTTTCAGCTTTTTGAGGAATCACCATACTGCTTTCCACAGTGTTTGAACTAATTTGCACTGCCACCAACAGTGTGTAACTGTTCTTTTTTGCCTTGCCAGCATATGTTATTTTTTTGACTTTTTAATCATAGTCATTTTGACTGGTGTAAGATGGTATCTTTTTTTGATTTTGATTTGCATTTCTCAAATGGTCAGTGATACTGAGGTTTTTTCATATGCTTGTTGGCTGCATGTATGTCTTCTTTTGAAAAGTGTCTTCATGTCATTTGCCCACTTTTTAATGGGGTTTTCTCTTATAAATTTGTTTAAGTTCCTTATAGATGCTGAATATTAGATCTTTGTCAGATGCATAGTTTGCACATATTTTCTCTCTTTCTGTAGCTTGTCTGTTTACTCTGTTGATACTTTCTTTTGCTGTGTAGAAGGTCTTATGTTTAATTTCATCCTATTTGTCAATTTTTGCTTGGGTTGCAATTGCTTTTGGCATCTTTGTCAGGAAATCTTTGCTCATTTGTATGTCCAGGATGGTATTGCCTAGGTTGTCTTCCAGTGTTTTTATAATTTTGAGTTTTACATTTAAGTCTTCAATCCATCTCGAGTTGATTTTTGTATATGGTGTAAGGAAGGGGTCCAGCTTCAATCTTCTGCATATGGCTAAGTTATCCCAGCATCATTTATTGAATATCAAGTCTTTTCCCCATTGCTTATTTTTGTCAGGTTTTCCAAAGATCAGATTGTCATAGGTGTGTGGTCTTATTTCTGTGTTATCTATTGTGTTCCGTTAGTTTATGTGCCTGTTTTTTCTACCAATGCCATGTTGTTTTGGTTACTGTGGCCCTGTAGTATAGTTTGAAGTTGGGTATCTTGATGCCTCCAGCTTTGTTCTCTTTATTTTGCATTGCCCTGGCTATTTGGGCTCTTTTTGAGTCTATATACGTTTTCCACTAGTTTTTTTTTTTTTTTTTTTGTCATGTGAAGAATGTCATTGGTAGTTTGGTAGAAATAGCATTGAATCTATGAATTGCTTTGGGCAGTATGGCCATTTTAATGTTATTGATTCTTTCTATCCATAAGCATGAGATGTTTTTCCATTTGTTTGTGTCTTCTCTGGTTTCTTTGAGTAGTGTTTTGCCATTCTCATTATTGAGATCTTTCATCTCCCTGGTTAGCTGTATTCCTAGATATTTTATTTTTTGTGTGACAGTTGTGAATGGGATTGCCTTCCTGATCTTGCTCTCAGCTTGGCTGTTGTTGGTGTAAAGGGATGCTAGTGATTTTTGTACATTGATTTTGTATCCCAAAACATTGCTGAAGTAGTTTATCAGCTGAAGGAACTTTTGGGC
This sequence comes from Homo sapiens, assembly GCF_000001405.40. NCBI lineage: Eukaryota > Metazoa > Chordata > Mammalia > Primates > Hominidae > Homo > Homo sapiens. The sequence goes on from NC_000004.12 coordinate 80,554,901, forward strand.
CAAGACAATGGGGTTTTCTAGATATAGAATCATGTCATCTGCAAACAGGGATAGTTTGACTTCCTCTCTTCCTATTTGGATGCCCTTTATTTCTTTCGCTTGCCTGATTGCTCTGGCTGGGATTTCCAATAATATGTAGAATGGGAATGGTGAGAGAGGGCATCTTTGTCTTGTTCCAGTTCTCAAGAGAAATGCTTCCAGCATTTGCCCATTCCGTATGATGTTGGCTGTGGGTTTGTCATAGATGGCTCTTGTTATTTTGAGGTATGTTTCTTCAATACCTAGTTGATTGAGAGTTAATGTGAAGGGGTGTTGAATTTTATTGAATGCCTTTTCTGTGTCTATTGAAATAATCATGTAGTTTTTGTCTTTAGTTCTATTTATGTGATGAGTCACATTTATTGATTTGCTTATGTTGAACCAAACTTGCATTCCAGGAATGAAGCCTACTTGATCATGGTAGATTAGCTTTTTGATGTGCTGCTAGATTTGGTTTGCCAATATTTTGTTAAGGAGTTTTACATTGATGTTCATCAAAAGATACTGGCATAAAGTCTTCCTTTTTGTTGTGTCTCTGCAAGGTTTTGGTATCAAGATGATGCTGGCCTCATAGAATAAGTTTGGGAGGAGTTTCTCCTTCTCAATTCTTTGGAATAGTTTCAGTAGGGATAATACCAGAACTTATTTATACACCTGGTAGAATTTGGCTGTAAGTCCATCAGTTCCTGGGCTTTTTTTGGTTGATAGGCTATTTATTACTGATTCAATGTCAGAGTTTATTACTGGTCTGTTTAGGGATTTCATTTCTTCCTTGTTCAGTCTTGGGAGGATGTATGTGTCCAGGAATTTATACATCTCTTCTAGATTTTGTAGTTTATGGGCTCAGAGGTGCTCATTGTAGTTTCTGATGGTTATTTTTATTTCTGTGGGGCCAGTGGTAACATTCCTATCATTTCTAGTTGTGTTTATTTGGATCTTCTATCTTTACAAATTGTGGAGAAACTAGGCAGACAGAAATATGACTCAAATTCTTTTTACAAAAGTATACTCAATGTACTTAAAGTATATTTCAAGGCTATAAATAGCTCAAAAGAAAAAGATTCTTTAGACTCTGAAAAAACAAAATGAAAACAATCAGCAACATTTCAAACAACAAAAGCCATACAAATTGTTTTTGTCTTCCATTAGTTCAGTGTATGCAATCAACTCCTATTCTACTTCATATTGGGTTAGCAATCTTTATGAACACATAAGCCTTTAAATTGGAGCCCTGGAAGTTTTGTCTCTAATCCAATGGCACAATCTCCAAAGTTATCAGAAAACTTGTATTTAAGAGTCCTTTTCGTGAACTCCTCCAAAGAAGCAAGATTGAACTGTAGCTGATTATAAGTCTCTTTTTTGAGAAGGATCAAAGAAAAACAAATTTTCGATGACAAAAGTCTTAAGACAGCTATGAAGACATGGTTGACAAGGAAATTTGTTTATTTTTGTGGCATACAACAATTTAACACAATAATTATATATTACTGATAATATATATTAAGACGTGTAAGAACTTTAGGAATCTCATACAATCCTGGAACACATATGAACAACACATCTATAAATATAACCGAAAGGAAGCTAAACACCATCTCAGATTTGACAGTACTTCCTGTATAATTCTAACTTTACAAATAAGCCTAATAAGCCCGATATGTCTCTCTTGGATTTCAGGGAACTTAATATCCAAAAAGTTTAGTTTGAGGTCAAAAGATTGAATTTAACATGAAATTTTGCTGTTGGAAAGTCTGTCAGATTTCAAAGGTTTAAGACACTAGATATCACAAAATAGGATCACAAGTTACTATAAAATTGTCATTCAAGTAGCCAAAATTATGTTTACTCCTCATAGAGAGGAAACATATTTTCCCAATCAATAAGACTTAAGACAGCATGAGGCCAAGTATATCTGTCTCTTCCCCCTCCATTTTCTCCCTGCAGTTCACCCAAAAGGTAAACAAAATCTCTTATCTCTTAATATTACATAAACATTTTGCTCAAAAGAGAAAACCAAAATTTCACCTTTTGTATGGTATATAACTAAAGCTAATTTTAATAAAACCTTATAAACAAATCTGTCTAATTTTAATCAGTTTGACCATAAGGTAAGGTTTTCACAACCTTTTTAAATTTTCTATTAAACCACAGATCAACACTTCAAGAAAGTCCTGTTATTCCAACACATGGCCCCAGATACTGGCCTTGCATCAGTGTCCTTTCTATATTAATGTTTAATTTACAGAAAATATCTGAACTAACCTTGTAACTCAAAATTGGCTATTGCAATCTTATGTACCCACCTCTTCCATGACAGTCCCTGGGCCTAGAAGAATTGGATAGTTTAATTTCTGGTCTTGTGTCTCACAAAAGCAGTTCATTTTGATAATCACCTTCTCCTGAGTGTGTTGTTGATGCTTCAACTGGTGTCAATGCTCAGAATTTAGCAGGGGGTCAGTACCTTTTTCAGATCCAAGAGTCAAAGACCTGTAACTTAACAGTACAAGCATTAGTTAATAAGATACTTATACTATAGAAGGTCCTATCATTCTCTCTAACACGTACAAATTAAAACGCTGTGATTTAGGAGTTACTGCCATCAGTACTTCAAAGCAGTGTATTAAAGTAGTTAGGTTACTCATTGCATATATCTGATTGCTAGTATTCTAGTGACAGAACTGTGACCAAAACCATCAAAAATGTCTTAGGTCCCATGCCAAAAGTATCAAAGTAAGACAACTAACTTTACGTAATCTCCATCATTAAAAAATAGTTAATGCAAATACCAGTTTTGGAAATTCAGTATCAAGATAATCTCCTTTTACTTAAATACTATACAACAACAAAAAAGGACAAAGCAAGAACAAACACAAAATAATTTCTTTTCGGCTACTTTAAAAGAGCATCATCACATATTTCCAAGATTGGTTTCCAGTTACAGTACTGACAAGTGATTAGCTAACTTTCGCCACCAAAATCTTCAAACCAGAATGACACTTGCACATATTTTGTTTTCAAGTGCACACTTGAAGGCCCATCAGTAATAAATAACTTGGGATCAAAAATCACTAGAAAGCCTCACATTTTTTATTACTACTTACTCCAAGTGAATGTCACTTAATTTTAATAATGGTCAACACAACTGAATTAGTATGAGAGAAATCCCAATTAATATAATTTTCTTAATGACAAGGCCAATCTTTTCTGAACGTTAAAACTTTGAACCCATGTCACAGTTTCTCTCTGTTTCCTAAAGAAGATGTAAAACCTACTAAAATTACTAATTAAATTGAATTACCTTGGAAATAAACATCATTTAAACAATTTTATTCTCACCTACTTTTTCAAATAATAAATAATGTACAATTTCTGTTCAGAACTTACTGAAGACTTTTGTGGTTTTTTTGTTTGTTTGTTTGTTTGTTTGTTTTTTTTTTGGCCAGGAACCTTAAAGTTCTCATAGCTCTCTAGATTATTAGTGGCAAGCAAAACCAACCAAATTCTAAATGGCTGGTGTGCAAATCAATTCCTGCAGTCCTGACAAAGGTAGCTTAGGAATTCCAGAGGTCATTCTCCTAAGAAGGCACAGATCAACACAAACTTGAGGTTAACTCTTGACTCAGAATAGTTAAAATAACTCCACCAAATAAGAGCGTCAGGCAGAGATGATTTCATAGGAATTGAACAAATTTTAAATATTTTATAATCCCAGATGCGACTTAGACTATTTCAGAGCATTGGAAAAAAAAAAGGAAAACTTCTAAATTCATTTTTTGAAGTGTGTAGAACATAGATTAAAAAACCTTATAAAGATTATATCTAAAAAGGTATCTGCAGACTGACCTCACTTATGAATATAATAGAGAAATAAGTAAAATAGAACACTGCATTTAAAAATAATATCTCATGAGTAAGTGAGGTTTACTCTAAAAGTACAAGAGTAATTCAGTAGAAGACAAGAAACGGTATAATACATCATATAAATAGCACTAACGAGAAAAATCATAATCATTTCTATTTTGGTTATTTATTGCTGCAATAAAACCACCTCAAAACTCAGTGATTGATAAAAATATTTATTTATTTGGTCATTACTCCACAAATTGTGCAGGTCTTGGCTGGGGTAGCTTGTTTCTGCTCCATGTGGTATCTGTTAGGGCTGGAATGTTCAAAATGGCTTCTTTAGTTATATATCTCCTCAGCTGGGAATGGCTGGAACAGCTAGGGGTTGGTTTCTCTTTTCATGTGAACTTTCCTTGTAGCTAGTTTGGGTTTTCATATAACATGACAGGTTCATGGTAGTTGGACTTCTTGCATGGTAACTGGCTTTTCCCAACTGCAAAAGTGGAAGCTTTGAGGACTTTTTAGTATTACTTCTGCCATAATATATAGATCAAAGAAAGGGGAAGTAGATTGTACTTCTTGATGCAGGAGTGCAAAGCTCATTATGAGAGAATATAAGGGAAGAGGTGGAGCAAGATGGGGGAATATAAGGCTTCACCCATAGTCTCTTCGCCAAAAGACACCAAGTTAACAACTACCTCCACAGAAAAAAAGCGCCTGTGTAAGAACCAAAAATCATGTGAGCCCTCAGTAGCTGTCTTTAACTTTATATCACTAAAAGAGGCATTGAAGAGATAGAAAACACAGTCCTGAGTGGCAGATGCCAGTCTCCTCCCTCACCCCTGGCAGAAGCTGCATTGTGTGGAGATCATCTCTGGGCAGTGGGGGAGAGAGAACACTGCAATTGTGAGGCATTGAACTCATTGCTATCCTGCTAGAGTAAAAAGGAAACCAGACCAAATTCAGCAGATGCCTGCCCATGGAAGGAGCATTTAAACCAGCCCTAGCCAGAACAGAATTGACGAAACTAGTAGTTGGAACTTGAGTTCCCACACCCCTCACTACTGAGGGCTACTGTACTCTGTGTCTCCAAGTAAACTTGAAAGACAGTCTAGGCCATAAGGACTGCAATGCTTAGGCAAATCCTAGTGTTGAACTAGGCCTAGAGACAGTGGACTAAGGGATCACATAACATACTGAGACACCAGCTGGGACAGCCAAGGGAGTGCTGGCAACATCCCTCCCCTAACCCCAGGCTGCATAGCCCGTGACTCCAAAAAAGACCCCTTCCTTCTGCTTGAGGAGAGCAGAGGTAAGAGTGGGGAGGACTTTGTCTTGCATCTATGATACCAGCTCAGCCACAGGACAGAGCACTGGCCAGAGTTGTGAGACCCCTGTTTCAGGTCCTAACTTCTAGACACACCCTGGGTCAGAAGGGAAACCTCTGCCTTGAAGGAAAATACCCAGTCCTGGAAGCATTTATCACCTGCTAACTGAAGAGCCCCTGGGCTCTGAATACCAGCAGTGATACCCAGGTACTATGTCAAGGGCCTTGGTGAGCCTCTAGACTTGCTGGCTTCAGGTGAGACTCAGCACATTACCAGCTATGGTGGCTACAGGGCAAAACTCCTTTGGCTTGGGAAAGCAGAGGGAAAAGTAAAGGGGACTTTGTCTTGCACTTTAGGTACCAGCATAGCCACAGGTGGGTAGAGCACTAAGTGGGCTTTTGGGGTCCCCGATTCCAGGACTTGACTTTTGGGTCGCATTTCTGAACCTGCCCTAGGCCAGAGGGATACCCACTGCCCTGAAAGGTGAGTCTCAAGCCAAGCAGCATTCATGACAAGCTGACTAAAGAGACCGTGACCCTTAAGAGAACATCAGTGGTAGTCTGGCAGTACTCCACAGGGCCTGGCCTGTTGGTGGCTTTGGGGTAAGTCTCCTCTGCCTTTGGAAAAGAGAGGGAAGAGTGGGAAGGACTATGTTTTGTGGTCTGAGTGCCAGCTCAGCTGCAATACAATAGAACACCAGGTAGAATTCTAGGCTTTTTCACTCTAGCCCTTGACTCCTGGATGGTGTTTCTGGACCCACGTGGGTCCTGTGGGACCTCGCCACCCTAAAGGGAAGGACACAGACCTGTCTGGCTTTGCCACTGGCTGATTGTAGAGCTCTGAGGTCTTGAGTGAACATAGGCTTAGCCAGAGAGTGGTTACATCACGCCTTGATGAGACTCAGTGCTTTTCTGGCTTCAGGTCTGATGCAGTGCAGTCATAGTGGTGGTGGTCACAGGGGTGTTTCTGTCACTCCACCCCCAGCTTTAGGTGGCTCAGAACAGAGACAGAGAGTCTATATGCTTGGGAGAATGTAAGAGAAGAGAACAACAGTCTCTGCCTGGTAATCCAGTGAATTCTCCTGGAACTTGTTCAAGACCATCAAGGTGGTACCTCTATGAGCCTGAAAGAACCACAGCATTACTGGACTTGGGGTGCCCCCTAAAGCAGATACACCTTAGATCACAACACTCAAGTCCTTTTAGATATCTGAAAAGACTTCCCAAGAATGATAGCTACAAATCAGCCCAGATAGTGAAGGCTGCAATAAATACCTAACTCTTCAATGCCCAGACACCAAAGAACATTTATTAGCATCAGTGCTATCCAGGAAAACATGACCTCATCAAATGAACTAAATAAGGTATTGGACAAAACCTGGAGAAAATGTGTGACCTTTCAGACAGAGAATTCAAAATAGCTGTATTGAGGAAACTCAAAGGAATTTGATGCCACAAAGAAGGAAATCAGGCTTCTATCAGATAAATTTAACAAAGAGATTGAAATAAAAAGAATCAAGCAGAAATTCTGGAGGTGAAAAATGTGACTGTCATACTGAAGAATGCATTGGAGTCCTTTAATAGCAGAACAGATCAAGCAGAAAAGAGAAATAGAGAGCTTTGAAGAAAGCCTATTTGAAAATACACGGTCAGAGGAGACAAAAGAAAAAAGAATGAAAAACCATGAAGCACACCTACAAGATCTAGAAAATAGCCTCAAAAGGGCAAATCACAGAAAAACACAGACTATAACACTGTAACTGTGTTGTGTAAACTGCTTATCTTAAATAGAAAGACTAAACAATGAGCCAATCAACAATAATAACTACAACAACTTTTTAAGACATGGACAATGTGGTAAGATATAAATAAAAACAACAAAATACTAAAAAGTGAGGGAATGAGGTTAAAGTGTAGAGTTTTTGTTTTCTTTTTGCTTGTTTATGCAATCAGTGTTATTTTCAGCTTCAAATAATGGACTATAAGATAGTATTTGCAAGCCTCATAGTAACCTCAAGTAAAAAAACCTACAACAGATACACAGAACTAAAAAGCAAGAAATTAAATCATACCACCAGAGAAAAAATCACCTTCACTAAAAGAAAGGCAGGAAGGAAGGAAACAAGGAAAAGAATACCACAAAATAACCATAAAACAAATAACAACATGGCAGGAATAAGTCCTTACGTATCAATAATAACATTGAGGCTGGGCACCATGGCTCAAGCTTGTAATCCCAGCACTTTGGGAGGCCAAGGAGGGCAGATCACTTGAGGTCAAGAGTTCGAGACTAGCCTGTCCAACATGGTGAAGCCCTGTCTCTACCAAAAATACAAAAATTAGCTGGGTGTAGTGGCGGGTGCCCGTAATCCCAGCTACAAAGATTAGAGCCTTTGTTAGGCTCTAACCAGCTTAACAAATTAAAAATAAAGACTATCCTCGGGAGGCTGAGCCATGAGAATCATTTGAACCTGGGAGGTGGAGATTGCAGTGAGCTGAGATCATGCCACTACACTCCAGCCTAGGCAATACAGCGAGACTCAATTTCAATAATAATAATAATAATAATAATAATAATAATAATAACAACAACAACATTGAATGTATAAAGACTAAACTCTCCAATAAAAAGACATAGAGTGGATGAATGGATTAAAAAATCCAGACCCATTGATCTGTTGCCTACAAGAAACGTACTTTACCTGTAAAGAACCCACAGACTGAAAATAAAGGCGTGGAAAATAAGATTCTATGTCAATGGATACCAAAAAAGAGCAGGAGTCACTATACTTATATCAGACAAAAAAATGTTTCAGACAAAAATTATAAGAAGATACAAAGAAGGTCACTGTATAATGATAAAGAGGTCAATTCAGCAAGAGGTTTCAACAATTTTAAATATATATACATGTACCCAACACTGGAGCACCTAGATATGTAAAGGAAATAATATTAGACTAAAGAGAGAGGTCCCAATACAATAATAGCTGGAGATTTCAACACCACACTTTCAGCATTGGATAGATCATCCAGATAGAAAATCAACAACAAAAAAATCAGACTTAATCTGCAGGATAGCCCAACTGAATTTAATGGATATGTATAGAACATTTCATCAAAGAGCTGCGGAATACACATTTTTTTCCTCAGCACATGGATCATTTCCAAGGATAAACCATATGTTAGGTCACAAAACAAGTCTTAAAACATTCAAAAAATTAAAATAATATCAAGCATCTTCTCTGACCACAATGGAATACAACTAGAAATTAATAAAAAGAATAATTTTGGAAACTATACAAATACATACAAATTAAATGATATGCTCCTGAGTGACCAGTTGGTCAATGAAGAAATTAAGAAGGGAATTGAAAAATTTCTTGAAAGAAATGATTATGGAAACACAACATATCAAAATCTATGGGATACAGCAAAAGCAGTACTCAGAGGTAAGTTTATCACTATAAGTGCCTACATAACAAAAGAGGGAAAACTTCAAATGAACAATCTAGTGATGCATCATAAAGACCTGGAAAAGCAAGAGCAAACCAAATCCAAAATTAGTAGAAGGAAAGGAATAATAAAGATCAGAGCAGAAATAAAGGAAATTGAAATGAATAAAACAACACAAAATATCAATGAAACAAAGAGTTGGTTTTTGAAAAGTTAAACAAAATTGACAAACCTCTAACCAGGTAACAAAGAAAAAAAGAAAGACTATCCAAATAAATAAAATCAGAAATGTAAAAATCACATTACAACTGATACTGCAGAAATTCAAAAGATCATTAGTGGCTACCATGAGCAACTATGAGTTGGAAAATCTAGAAGTGGACAAATTCTTAGATACATACAACCAGCCAAGTTTGAATAATGAAGAAGTCCAAAACCTGAACAGATCAATAAGTAATGAGATCAGAGCTGTAATAAAAAATCTCCTAGTAAAGAAAAGCCTGGGACCTGATGGCTTCACTGTTAAATTCTCACAAACATTTAAGAAGAGTTAATACCAATCCTACTCAACCTATTATAAAAAATAGGGGAGGAGGGAATACTTCCAAACTCATTCTACAAGGCTAATATTATCCTGATACCAAAATGAGACAAGACACATCAAAAAAGGAAACTATAGACAAATATCTCTCATGAATATTGATGTAAAAATCCTCAACAAAATAGAAGCAAACCAAATTTAACAATACATTAGAAAGATCATTCATTATGATCAAGTGGCATTTATCCCTAGGATGCAAAGATGTTTCAACATATGCAAGTCAATCAATGTGATTCAGCCTATAAACAGAATGAAGGATAAAAACCATATAATCATTTCAATTTATGCTGAAAGAGTATTTGATATAATTCAACATCCCTTTATGATAAAAACTCTCAAAAATCTGGGGACACAAGGAACATAACTCAACATAATAAAAGCCATGTATGAAGATTCACAGTTAGGATCATACTAAATGGAGAGAAACTGAAACTCTAAGATCTGGAATGTGACAAGAATGCACACTGTCACCACTGTTATTGAACGTAGTACTGGAAGTCCTAGCTAGAGCAGTCAGAAAAGAAAAAGAAATAAACGGCATCCCAATTGTAAAGGAAGTCAAATTATACTTGTTTGTAGATGATGTAATCTTATATTGGAAAATAACTCAAGACTCCACCAAAAAAAAAGCAAACAATTCAGTGAAGTTGCAGTAAACAAAATCAACATACAAAAGTCAGCAACCTTCCTATATGCAAACAATGAACAATCTGAAAAAATATTTAAAAAGTAATCTCATCTACAATAACCACATATAAAATTAAATACCTAGGAATTTACTTTACAAAAGAAGTGAAAAATCTCTATAACGAAAACTATGAAACACTGATTGTTGATAAGGATGTAAAAACTTGTACTCTTAAAACTGTACGTGGGACTACAAAATGGCACAATCCCATTAAAGAGGAACTTTATAATATTGAACACAATAAAATGTTTATGTACTCTTTGACCGGAAATCTTCCTTCTAGAATTTATTCCAAGCATATACTGGCAAAAACATGAAATGACCTATACACAAAGCAATATGCTCAAGCAGTATTTTTCGTAGCAAATAAGGGAAAACAACCCAATGACTATCAGCAGCTGAGTGACTAACCTATTGTATATTCCTACAATCAAGTACTATGTACCTAAAAAAGGAGTGAAATGTCTGTTACTACTATGGCATAATCCCCTGAATATAATGTTAAGTAAAAAAGCAAGGTCAAGGCAAACATGTATAGAATGTTTGCTTTTATTAAAAACAATATGAACAGTTGAAAAGCAATATGACTAATTCTTTTTTTAAAAAACGATCTATGTAGAAGGAAGGGAATAAAAGGGTAGAAAGGACTCGGGGAGATGCAAGCTAAACTTCTGTAAATCTTAAGTTGTAGATTTCATTGTAGAATTCTGTGAATATTTTATATAATTAAAAAGAAGAATTTAAAATATCTTAAACATTGAAAAATAAATGAACCTAAATGTGTATCTAGCTGGTATCATACCTATTTAAAAATGACCTTTTGCAACTGAAGTTACTTTAAAACATAGTAATTTTGCCATACATCCATAATGAGATATACTCTAAGGAAAAAAAAGATCTGCAAAAGCCTTAAACTGTTTTGAATAAACACGTTATTGATAATAATATTGGCAATTTTGTTTTGAAACTATATTTGTGATAAAGCAAATGAGTTATGTTGGGGTTTTTGAACCTTGGGATTTTTTATTTGGATGAAAGGAGACTGTGATAGAGATGTGAGTGTATCTCATACAGGGAGTGTTAACTGACTTAGGGTCTCATCACTCTTTGAAATCCGTGATGCATTTGCACCCTCATGACATCTACCATGGGCTGCTTTCCCCCAGTGACTAAGTGTGGCCAGGGTATTAAGGTGAACCCATTGCAGGGAGCCATAGCCCTTTATTGGCTGACTTTGGCCCAAGAACTCCTGTATGGCTTTGTTAAACCTTCCATAGAAGTCTAGGATACTTCCATCCAACTCTATCACTTTCTCAGTCTTTCTCTCCATCACTTGGAGTCAAACTTATATCCCAGTATTTCAAGTTTTATTAAAGGAGTAATAAAAGGCATATACAGAGGGTATCATGCAATAAGCCTTTCTAATAGTATTTTTTTAAGTATCTTTCTTCCCAAACTCCCCTATCTAAACCCCTCTTTTTTCCTTACAGTCCCTACCCTATTTGTACACTCCTCTGCTCTGAACATTGAAGAGCCTGCAATTCCTGAAGAATGACAGTCTCTATCACTGTGTACAGTTACTGAGAAATGCAGCATGGGCTCTGACTGTTTTCCTCTGGTAAAGCGTTGCCCCCATTTTACCACAGTTTCCAGGTATTTATTTAGAATCTTTCAAAAATTAGAAAAACTCAGAGACTAGACATATGTAGCATAAGGACCTTCAGCTTTCTAAAGCCTCACTTGCTCGTGACCAGTTTCAGCGTTCTCCAGAGTAATAACTGCTTCCCACAGATGGAGAGGGACCTGGAGGCAGGTGTACCAAACAAGAGGTTTCTTTCTTTGCTTTCATTTTTTTCATTGGCTTTCCTTGTGTAAATATAACCAGCAGGTCAGGAAGTACATTCCAAATCAGGATAAAAGATGTAGCTGCCTCCGAGGAGAGAATGAAAGTAAAGTTTTAATGTGTTTTCAGAATGAAATCGAACACATTCAGACACAAAGAACATCTATTTCCTCTCTAAGCACCTTTATCCCCTGAAAGTGTGAGACTATCTTGACCTACCATATTTAAGTATTAACTAGAGAAACTTGCCAGATGTACAAAAATGAGGAGTTCAGAGACAATTTCTTACGGAGAAGCCAACCCATTTTTTCTCCTTAAAATAAAAAAAAAACAAAAAGAAAAAGTTTTCATTGAAGAAAGTAAAGTCTGACTGATGTAAGACACTGTAGATCTGAAGACTCCCACTTGGATCTTCCTCAAGATAGAAAATGAGAAGAAACCTCTGTCTAGTGTGCATGTTAACATTTCTTGACTTTCTTCTGTGTGCCTCTAACAATTGAAATCTTTCCCAGAGATGCTGATAGCTTTACTGTACATTTGATAATTTAAAAACTCTTTCACATAAAAAAAGACGGGGAAAGTGATGTTATTTTCCTGCTCAGTGGAAATTTGACCCTCATTTCTTCTCACCAATAAATGAATTTCATTTCTCAAGTTATGTTCTCCTTTTCTGAAAGTTATTAAAATATAAATTGATGACCTCTTGGAATTTCCATGGAGATCACTGTATTTCAAAAATTCTTAAACCACAAATCTCTCCAAATGTAACCCTGACTAACCTGGCTCCTAAAGAATATTGTTTCAATTGTGAAAAGGCAATTAAGAATAGTTTACGAAAAAAAGGGGAGGAGACTAAAAAAGCACATATCGGATTTAGCTCTACTGTTCTCTCCCTTCGTGTTTAAATAATAATCTCTCAGAGATTAAAGGCGGATTGTCTGTTGAATTGATGCTCAAAGGAAAGGAGCTGAAATTGTTCACTGGTTGCCATTTTCCTTCTATGCAATTTTCACTTAAAAATGCTATTCTAATGTATTTATATATATATATATATATAAGTACATAAGATTTTGTTGTTTAAATACAAACGAAAAGTTGTTTAAAGTCTAGGAAACCAATACATAATTAGAATGATGCTTGAAATTTTCATTTATTTTTGCAACTGTGAAATGTAAGCAAAATATATTATTTTAAAAGTTTATATTATATCCTAATACAATGTATATTTGAATCAATTAAAATGTAATATGCATTATTAAATCAGTGAAAGCCTCGCTTTTAAAAAATAATTATTTTCATTTTAATTATAGATTCATTTTCTGCTAATTCAACAAATAACTTCAAAAATTTTGAGGAAAAGATGACTGGTGTAAAATTTTTAAAAAACAATAATAAAAGTTTGTTTCTAAAATGTTAGAAAAAATGAGTTAGAAAAACTTTTAGGGAAAAATGAGTGTGTGTTATTCTGATCAATTAATATTATACAAACATACTGAACCTATTTTATATATGTGTATGCTTCTAATTGGTCTACATTTTTTATAATCCAGTCAGTTACATTGAAGCTTCTACATCAAAATTTAAACTTAGAATTGAATAAGTTGTGATTAGAATTTAATTATTTAGAAAATTGCAAAACTATGTATCATGTTTCCTTTGTTATTCTCTGAAATATGTGAATACTAGAATGGTATAAAATTAATCCTAGAAAAATCGCAACCAAAGTTTTGTAAATTTAATCAATTTTCTCTTTACTTTCAAGAAAACTAAAAGAAAAATGACAACAATATCAAAAATAAAAGTTGTTGAAAGAGAGATGACAGTCAAGCCTTTTCCAAGCCTATGTTGTGGTGATCACATTATTTTTCTCTTAAGATAGTGAATATAGTGGATTGCATTAATTTATGTTATATATTATAGTAACAAAATACAATTTATTGAGTCTTTACTGCAGACTACGTTGAAATATAAGGTACTCAGTTTTCCTGGCTTCCTGTATGGAGAGGAGAAAGAAGAAAGGATGGCATGAAGGAGATGATTTATGGAGCACATGATTTTTGAGTCTTGTATAGACGTTTTTAGAGAAGAGGGGGAAGAAGGACCTTTTAGACTGAGGGTTGAGGGCTATCAAGGGCACAGGGAACTGTGCAATGGCTGTAGTGTACATGTAATTAGGTTAATGGCAAATCAAAAGATAAGTTTCTGGCCCCAGAGGATAATCTCTGTGTACTATAGCCTCAGTAAGTAAATTGTAAAGCAGGAGGAGATAGAGACTGGACCACAGTTTTATTGGTGGCCATGTTCTCTACACATGACCACACTGCCTATCAGGTAGCCAGCCAGCTAAGGCTCTGTTAGCAACACTCCCTCTTTGTCTCCTCAGGCTTGAGGGTGAGAAGAGCTTCCTACTCCGTCATTGTGGCTAATTCTTGTGTGTTTCCATCACCCTTTGTGAACATTCTGAACCCTGTTGATAGCTCCATTATACTCTCTCCCCTTAAGCTCTTTCAGTGTTTCATTTGTTTTCTGTTGGGACTCTGACTGATAAAGTGAATTTTGGATGTGAACAGGGAGGAATAAAATCTCAGAGGATTCCACATAGTTTGGCTTGGGTGTTCAGGCAAATGGTGTATAGTTGACCATTTATATTGGAAAAGTATATTACTATATTTCTTTATAAATATGCTATAATGTAAAGTTGTTTAAAAATATTCTAGATAATTTTAACTAGCTTTTTTTCTTTTACTGTTATAACATAAGACAAAAGAAGAAAAAGTTTTGAGAAATTTTAACTTAGTGTGAGGTTTGGTTTGTAATTCACAACAAAGATAAAATGACTAATGAGGAAATTAAAATCTGCATGTCAAATTAAAGAGAACTAATGGATAGGAATTAAAATTAGTAGGGAATAATAATGAGAGAGTTTAGCAAAATTGCATGATGCAAGGTAATATACAAATTACGTTTTATTTTACATACAATCAACAAGCAGAAAATGAAAGAAAAAACTTTCCACATTAATAGTAATATCCTGTTGTTAGACATAAATCTAACAAAAGATGTACAAGACTTATTAAGAACAAATGCAATAAAACTTTATTGAAAAAACTTTAAAAATCATAAATAAGTAGTGAGACACTATTTTTAGCTTCATGATTGGAAGCTACAGTATCATAAAGATGTTTATTCTTTACAAATTGGAAATTCAAATAAAAATTCCAAGAGCTTTTTAAAAGTGGAAGTTGACAAATATATTTTAAAAATTTGGTAGTGATACAAAGAAAATCAAAGACATTTTGAAAAAGAAAGGATAAGAGTTCTTTTTTTGACATCAACATTTATCATAAATGCTCAGTCATTGACAGTGTGATATTGGCAGAAGACAGATACATAAAAACTGGAAGAAAATAGAGAAGCCAGAAACAGATCTATGTATATATAAATATTTGATACATGACAAAAGAGGCATTGAAGGTTCTTTTCATTAAAGTTTTAAACATTGCATAGGCAATATAGTGATTACTTCAGGGTGGAGAAAGATTTATTTAAAGTGGAAAAAAGTCTATAACAATGAATAATTTTGATATATTGGTATATATTCAAATTAGATTTAATTATAGAAACTCCAATAAGAGCAAAAATACAAACTACGTGTGAAATAATATATTTGCAGAGCATATAGTAAATAAAAATCTAAAATCTAGAATATATGAAACACTCCTACAAAACAATACAATATAAATAACAATAATAAAGTGGACAAAAAACTGGAATGAGCATTTTGCATGAGAGGAAATTAATATGACAAAACATCAATAAAAATAGGAAAATGCAAATTAAAAGCACTCTGAGGTTGCTTAACCTCACACTGGATTGCTTATATTAAAAAGTTCTAAATTACTACATGTTGGGAATGGTGTGAAGCAAAATGAACTTTCACACTCTCATAGTGAAGTGTAAATTGGATCAACAATTTTGGAAACAAGTGGCTTTATTTTGTAAATCTGAAATTAACAAATGTGCTATTACATAGCTCTTGTATTGCTAGCCATAGATCTTTGAGAAATGTATACTCAGAAATGTACACATGTACAGGAAATTCTAGCAGCATATTTATAATAGACCCAAAGGAGAAAGGATAAATAAATGGTTGTATATTCATACACGAGAATACAATGAAAATGAGGTACAGCTACATGCACCAACATATGTGGAACATACTAAAGAAATACATGTGGAAATGCTAAAGAAACAATATATTACAAATATATACTTTGTGGTTTCATTTATAGAAAGTTCAAAAACAAGCAAAATTACACCATATCGTTTAGGGGTACATACTTAAGTGATGTAAAGAGGTGAGGTGATGATTCTAAAATTTGGAGACTGACATAAAGAAAATGTTGGAGTAAATATCATAAAAGTGAGAAGGTAGTTAGCCATGCTGTAGGAGGTGGGAAAATGGAGTTGTGAGCAGGACGGAGTGATCAGCGGCTTCTATCTAAAGTATTGTTTTTGTTTTTATCTCAAAATAATCTTATGAGTATATTATTTTAATATAAATTCATATTCAAGATAAGGAAGTTTTTCCATGCTCTTTGCGGCAAGTTTCCTTGGTGCTTTTCATTTGGGCCTTTTTGTGGTTATCTGGCTTGAAATTATTTCCACTTTGCTAAAGAGAACTGGAGAGAAATAACTGACTTTGGTAACTAAATTCTGCATATTTCAGGAGGTGAAAATGCTCTAATTTAGCTCACATGATGAAAAAAACTTGAAGTAGTTTCAAGTTGTACAAAAGAAGTAATAAGCAAGAAAGTGTATGTAGAAAAATAAATATATTGTAGAAAATTATTACATCTTGTTCCAAAATGAGAAACAGCATATTATGGACTAAACTGTACCCATCCTCAGAATTCATATGTTGAAATCCTAACCCCAAATATCATGGTATTTGGAGACTGAGGCTTTGGGAGGTCACTAGGTTTAGATGACATCATAAGGGTTGGGCCCTCATGATGGGATTAGTGCTCCTATTAGAAGAAACACCAGAGTTTGTTCCTGCTTTCTCTGCCATGTTGATACAGTAGGGTAGCAATCTGAACGCCAGAAAGAGGGCCTGTACCAGAACACAACCATGCTGGCACCCTGATCCCTCACTTCCAGCCTACAAAACTGTGATAAAATAAATTTCTGTTGTTTACACCACTCAGTGTATGCCATTTGCCACGGCAGCCCAAACTGCCTAATACAGAGCAAATACACAATGATACATTGAGAGAAGGAATGTAAAGATTCAATAGCATTACAGATACATATGAAACATCTTTAATGTTCTTTTATTCTTTTTTCTTTTTAATGTTTGTGGGTACACAGGGTAGGTATATATATTTATGGGAGTACATGAGATATTTTGATACATGCAGAGTAAATGGGGTATCAACATTATTCATCACCTCAAGCATTTATCCTTTCTTTGTGTAATGAACATTCCGATTAAACTATTTTGGCTCTTTTAAATGTACGATAAAGTACTGTTGACTGTAGTCACCCTGTTGTGCTATCAAATACTACATCTTATTCATTCTGTTTTTTTTTGAACCTGTTAGCCATTCTCATTTCCCCAGCCCAGCTATCCTTCCCATCCTCTGGTAACCATCATTCTACTCTCTATCATCGTGAATTCAATTGTTTTAGCTTCTAGCTTCCACAAATAAGTGAGAACAAGCAAAGTTTGTCTTTCTGTGCCTGGCTTATTTTACTTAACAAAATTACCTCAAGTTTCATGTATGTTGTTGCACATGACTGGATCCCAGTTTTTTTTTTTTTTTTTTTTTTTTTTTTGAGAGGGAGTCTTGCCCTGTTTCCCAGGCTGGAATGTAATGGTGCTATCTCGACTCACTGCAACCTCCGCCTCCCAGGTTCAAGTGATTATCCTGCTTCAGCCTCCCGAGTAGCTGGGATTACAGACATGCGTCACCACGCTTGGCTAATTTTTTTTATCTTTAGCAGAGATGGGGTTTCACCATGTTGACCAGGCTGGTCTCAAACTCCTGATGTCGTTATCCGCCCACCTGGGCCTCCCAAAGTGCTGGAATTACAGGCGTGAGCCATCATGCCTGGCCCGATCTCAGCCTTTTTATTCCATATGTATATGTACTACATTTTCTTTAACTATTCATCTGTTGAAGGACACTTAAGTTGCTTACAAATCTTGGCTATTGTGAAAAATACTGCAACAAACATGAGCGTGCAGACATGATATACTGATATACTTCGTTTTGGGTATAGGCTTAGCAGTGGGATTGCTGGTTCACATGATACCTCTGTTTTTAGTTTTCTGAGGAACGTACAAACTGTTCTCCATAGTGGCTATAGTAATTTACAGTGCTATCAACAGTGTATCAGGGTTCTCTTTTCTCCACATGGTCACCAGTATTTGTTATTGCCTATATTTTGGATAAAAGCCATTTTAACTGGAATGAGATGATATCTCATTATAGTTTTGATTTGCATTTTTGTAGTGATTAATGATGTTGAACACCTTTTTATATGCCTATTTGTCATTTGTATATCTTCTTTTGAGACATGTCTATTCAAATCTTTGGCCTATTTTTTGATTGGATTATTAGATTTCAGCCTATACAATTGTTTGAACTCTTTGTATATTCTGGTTATTAATCCCTTGTCAGAAGGGTAGTTTTCTTCCATTCTGTGGGTTGTCTCTTTACTTTGTTGATTGTTTTGTTTGTTGTGCAGAAGCTTTTTGACTTGATGTGATCCCATTTTTCTATTTTTGCTTTGGTTGCCTGTGCTTTTGGGGTATTGTTCAAGAAATCTTTGCCCAGATCAATGTCCCAGAGATTTTCTCCAGTGTTTTCTTGTAGTAGTTTCACAGTTTGAGGTCTTAGATTTAAGTCTTTAATTCATCTTGATTTGATTTTTGTATATGGTGAGAGATAGGGGTCTAGTTTCATTCTTCTGTATATGGATATTCAGTATTTCTGGCACCATTTATTGAAAACTCATTTCCCTAATATATATTCTTTGCACCTTTATAAAAAATGAATGCACTTGTGGTGTATGAATTTGTTTCTCAGTTCTCTATTCTGTTCCTTTGATTTATGTATCTGTTTTTATGCCAGTACCATGCTGTTTCAGTTACTACAGCTCCATAGTATAATTTGAAGTCAGGTAAAGTGATTCATCTAGTTGTGTTCCTTTTACTTAGGATAGCTTTGGCTATTCTGGGTCTTTTGTGGTTCCATATAAATTTTAGGATTGTTTTTCTATTTCTGTGAAGAATGTCATTGATATTTTTATATAGATTGCATTGAATCCATAGATTTCTTTGGGTAATGTGAACATTTTAACAATATTGTTTCTTCCAATCCATGAACATGGTATATTGTCCCATTTTTTGGTGTCCCCTTCCATTTCTTTTATCAATATTTTATAGTTTTTATTGTAGAGATCCTTCATTTATTTGGTTAATTCCTAAGTATTTAATTTTGTTTGTAGCTATAGTAAATGGGATTAATTTTTTATTTCTTTTTCAGATTATTCACTTTTGATATATGGAAATGCTACTGATTTATCTATATTAATTTTGTATTCTGCAACATTACTGAATTTGTTTATCAGTTCTAATAGTTTTTCAGTGGAGTCTTTAGGTCTTTCCAAATGTAAGATCATCTCATCTGCAAACAAGGATAATTTGACTTCTTCCTTTGCACCTTTCTAATTGGATGACCCTTATTTCTTTTTCTTTTCTGATTGCTCTAGCTAGGACTTCCAGTACTATGTGGAGTACAGTGGAGAAAGTGGGCATCCTTGTCTTATTGCAAATCTTAGAGAAAAGACTTTCAATTTTTCCCCATTAAGTATGATACTAGCTGTGGGTTTGTCATATTTGGCTTTTATTGTTTTGGGGGTATGTTCCTTCTTTCCACAGTTTTTGAGGGTTTTTATCATGAAAGGATGTTAAATTTTACTAAATAATTTCTCAGCATCAATTGCAATGATGATATAGTTTTGGTCCTTTGTTATGTTGATGTGATGTGTCACATTAATTGATTTTCATATGCTAAATCCTCCTTGAATCCCTGGGATAAGTTCCACTTGGTCATGATACATAATCTTTTTCATATGTTGTTGAATTCAGTTTGCTAGTATTTTGCTGGGGATTTTTGCATCAATGTTCATCAGGGATATTGGCCTGTAGTTTTCTTTTTTTGATGTATCTTTGTAGGTAGTTTTGGTATCAAA
This sequence comes from Homo sapiens, assembly GCF_000001405.40. Lineage (NCBI taxonomy): Eukaryota > Metazoa > Chordata > Mammalia > Primates > Hominidae > Homo > Homo sapiens. The sequence continues at coordinate 80,574,960 of NC_000004.12, forward strand.
GTAATACTGGCCTTGTAGAATGAGTTTGGAATTACTCTATCCTTTTCTATTTTTCAGAATAGTTTGAGTAGGATTGGTATTTGTTGTTCTTTAAATGTGTGGTAAAACTTAGCAGTAAAGTCATTGGGTCCCAGACTTTCATTTGTTGGGAGACTTTTAATTTCAGCTTTAATTTTGTTACTTTTTATTGGTCTGTTTATGTTTTGGTTTTCTTCATGGTTCAATTTTGGTAAGTTATACATATCTATACATTTATTCATTTCATGTGGGTTTTCCAATTTATTGGCATAGAGTTACTCATAGTAGCCTCTAATAATCCTTTGAATTTCTGCAGTATCAGTTATAATGTCTCCTTTTTCACTTTCATTAAATTTTTTTTTTTTTGAGAACAGATCTCACTCTGTCTGCCAGGCTGGGATGCAGTGGCACTATCACACCTCACTGCAGCCTTGACTTCCCAGGCTCGTGTGATCTTCCCACCTCATCCTCCCAGGTAGCTGGGACTACAGGCAGGAGCCACCATGACCAGCTAATGTCTTCTTTTTCACTCTGATTTTATTTATTTGGGTCTTCTCTTTTTTTTTTCGCAGTCTGGCTAGAGGTTTGCTGATTGTATCTTTTCAAAAAAACCAATTTTCCCTTTTGTTGAACATTTATATTGTTTTCTTCATTTCAATTTAATTTATTTCTGATCTTTATTAATTTCTTATACCAATTTTAGGTTTGTTTTGCTCTTGCTTTTATAGTTTTTAAAGATGCATCATTAAGTTGTTTGTTTTAAATTTTTGTGTTCTTTTGATGTAGGTGCTTATAGCTATAAACCTTTTTAGTACTGCTTTCGCTGAATCCCATAGGTTTTGGTATGTTGTGTTTCCCTTGTCATTTGCTTCAAGATATTTTTAAATGATGAGTTCATGTCCTTTGTAGGGACACGGATGAAGCTGGAAATCATCATTCTCAGCAAACTATCGCAAGGACAAAAAACTGAACGCCGCATGTTCTCACTCATAGGTGGGAACTGAACAATGGAACACTTGGACACAGGAAGGGGAACATCACAAACCGGGGCCTGTTGTGGGGTAGGGGGATGGGGGAGGGATAGCATTAGGAGATATACCTAATGTAAATGACGAGTTAATGGGTGCAGCACACCAACATGACACATGTATACATATGTAACAAACCTGCACATTGTGCACATGTACCCTAGAACTTAAAGTATAATAATAAAAAAAAAAATATATATATATATATATATAAAATCTCTTTCTTAGTTTCTTCATTGACCCACTGGTCATTCAAGAATTATAAATAATTTTATCTGTGGAAAGGTAGAATTATTTTCTCCTAATTTATATAAAGGATAAAACAGAAAAATGTCATGTTTTCTGGGAAATGTACAAAAATATTATCTCTGTCTGATAGAGCAATAGGTGCCCCATATCAAAATACAGTAAAAACATATCTTCCATATTTAACTCTCAAATGAGTTTATATATTATGGTAAATAAAATTATATTTTCTCATCAATTTGCAAATAATTTTCCATTTTGGCCTCTAAAAAATAGAATTTAAATTATTTGGGACCATGCAAATATAAATATATACAAATGGTTCTGTCAGTAAATTTATCCGTGGGAAATAGAACTGTTTCTGTAAGCTATGTTTTCATAGATGTGTTTGTTTGTTTTTTAAGAAGATAACATTATAGATTTTGTATAATACACTTTTACTCAACTACTGTTTTTCACTTTGCTCTTCATTAATTTTTTCCAAACTAAGTATACAACACATTTTAAGGAACTAAGGCACAGAGAGGTTGCATTATATATTCAAACAAGTGTGAAAGAGTTGAATGTAAATTCTCTAAATGTGAAATATAGGCTAGATTGGAGTTCTTTGGCTTAAAAAAATTAAATCTACCTTTGAACAGAACAGTTGATGGAACTTCAGTCTAGACTGGAATGACAATAATAGCTGATTAGCTTTCCTTAGAGACTGCAAGACCAGCCGACTCTGATTACTCCCAGGGGAACCCCCAGATAAAGTCTGCATACCTCACTCCTCCTACTCTCCTACACCCCTACTGATTTATGTTCCTTCTCCCCAGTGAATTCTCATTGTTTTCACAATGTAAAAATATTATGATGTAGTGTTTATGATATGCTGCTTTGATATATTGTGAGCCTTCATTATAGTGAAATAAAGCCTGAGAATTAGTGAATCTAGAATAAAACTGAATACCAACTGATTATAATGAAGTTATAAATATACTTCCTATTAGAGTTTATTTGAAAATAATTAAAATTGTTTGCAAAATGTCTAGCATAGGGACTAGTACAAAGTCAGTGCCCGATAGCTAAAAAGTATTGCTGTTAGAATACATTTAATCCCAGATTTGAATTAGGGATTATTAAGAAACTGCTTATTAGAAAACATTTTTTTTTTTTTTTTTTTTTTTTGAGACGGAGTCTCGCTCTGTTGCCAGGCTGGAGTGCAGTGGTATGATCTTGGTTCACTGCAACCTCTGCCTCCCAGGTTCAAGCGATTCTCCTGCCTCAGCCTCCAGAGTACCTGGGACTATAGGTGCATGCCACCACCGCCAGCTAATTTTTGTATTTTTAGTAGAGACAGGGTTTCAGCATGTTGGCCAGGATGGTCTCCATCTATTGACCTTGTGATCTGCACACCTCGGCCTCGCAAAATGCTGGGATTACAGGCATGAGCCATCACGCCCGACCTAGAAAACATCTTAATGATTAATCAAACTTTGTTTGTTAGAACACTTCCAGTTATACATTAAAAATCCAAAAAATAATTGATATCACAAATATGTAGTGAAAGAATTTATTTAAAAAATAAACTCTTAAAAAGTAACTCTTGAAAATAAGTTTCTACTTTAACAGTTTTCCAATTATTTTCCTTTTGTTATTCATTCGTTTTGAGTGTTAAGCTAATAATGTCAGTTTATGTGATAATGATATACAGACAACATACTTAAATCATAAAACCAGTAACCTAATTGTTGAAGATTAATAATATGTTTATAATCATTCAAGTAGGATTATATAAATAGCTTTAGCTATTGATTAATCATGGTTGGTAAAATTTAACTCATCCATATAACTTTTACCACATTTTGAAAGTGCAGTGGAGTATGAACAATAAAGATGGAGTATTTGCCTTTGTAGAACTTATAACACTAAGATTTTGAAACAGACCTACTTCACTTCTTGAGGAAGTAACTGCTTTTGTAATATTTATTTAAGCAAGGTTTCTTAGGTCACTGACTGTTAAATAAACCTAGTTAAATAAGAGTAATGCATGTTAAAGATTTAAGAATTCCTTACCTCACACTCTGCATTAACTTTCATTCTTTTCCAATATTTCCTCTTGCTAAGAAGTTTCAGGTTCTCAGCTGTCGCACAATATAAGAAGGATTATTATGTAACATTTTTTTCTCTGCTTCGGATAGCTTTGGAGCCAAAGATCCTTATCCTCTCTGTCCCAAATTTATATAATACTTTTATCTTCCTCATTGAGTTTATAAGAAATGATGTAAGTCTATGTATGCGAGACTTGCATAATAATAAAAGAAGAACAGTATGAACTTAGGATATTTCAGGATAATAGTCATTTTCTTGGACTAATTATATATTAATGATGTTTGCTGGTTAATGATACAGTATGATTGCTTTAGACCACAAGTTTTACATCTGCTATTGGGCCTAGATATATTTAGCACAGCATGAAATCAAGGTTCAGAAAAATGTGGTTGTTTGGACTAAACAGTTGATAAATGAGTAGGAATTAAAGATTGATATTCCATCTTATATTTTAGTTTAATTTTTATTATCTTGTGCTATTATTTAATAGACTTAACCTATGACTGTCTTAGAAAATTCATTTTAGTTATGTAAGTAATACAGTCTCCTGGGAAATTCTTAGAATATTTCACCTAAGGTTAAATTCCAATTTGATCACCAAGCCAATCGCACAAGAGCATCTTTTTCCAGAAAAGTGAACAAATTTCAAATGGTCAAGTATCTTTTTGGATTAGGTGGGTAAAAAAGTAACAGAAAACCCCAAAATGACAGTGGCTGAAAGCAAATATAAATTCTTTTCAGTCTCATATTCAAGAAGTTCAGCTGGTGTCACTCAAGGCTGTGTTGGTATTCTGAAATATCAGGGACCCTGCTCCTCTCTTTGTTTCTCCATAATAGTGGCCTCCAACTTATGGCCAAGATGGCAGTTGGAGTTTCAGTCATTATATTGCATTCTAGCTACAAGAAAAAAAGTACCCTTCCCTACTTTAAATACACGCCTTAGAAGGCGCAAATCATTTTCACTTGGCTCTTAATGTGCAAAAGTTAGTGACATGAACATAACTAGCTGCAAAGAGACTAAGAAATGTGGTCTTTATTCCAGGCTGCTACATGCCCAAGTGAAAACAGGGGCTTTCATTGTTACGGAAGAAGGGGGAACAGTGTCTGCCATAGTTAAGTGTCCAGGGACAGTAAGAATTCTATTGCCTATTACCTTATTTTCTTGTCCAGCCCAGATATCTGCTGAAAACCTCGGCCATTAGCAAGAGAGTCACGCTTAGCAAAATATTAAGAGTCCCATCCTTACTAGTGAATGATGCCTAAAAATCTATTTTTCTGGCATTTTGTATCTGATAGATCAGGGATAATTTTGATTTTCTTTGGAACTTTCATAAAGATCCACTTCCAGGAATAGTTATAACAACAGCAATAAAACAGTAAGTTGCAAAATATATAATAAAATGAAAAACTGACCACATGATACTATATATATTTTAATCAGTACACAAATATATAGATACATTGTAGACATATATCTATATATAATTTAAAAAACCTTGAAGGCTACAGGCAAAACTGATGTGATCATTACCTTTTGTGCTGTGGGATCAGGGCTGATGATCAAATTGGACTTTATCTGTAAAGCTCTAAAAATTTACAGCAAAATAAGCTATGCTTGGGAAGGTAGTGGGAGTAGGAAGTAGACATATTTTGTGGAAACTCTTAGGAATTCTGTAGTACCCTAACTGTATAGTCATTGTATCAATTACAGGTTTTTATTGTGAGCAACAGAAACCAATTCTAATGAACAAAATCAAAAAGGGAATTGGAAGAGCACTGATTATCATAGATTCAAAGACAAAGTTGAATAAGACTGTAGTAGGAAGTAAGGGTAGCCACTATAACTCAGCTACCTTTCATTCTTGTGTCTCTGTTAAAGATTTACATTCTCATGAGGTGAAATGACATTGACAAAGCTTGAGGTGTATTCATTAGCTGAGGTTTGGGAGGTGGGAGTTCTAAGTAATTGGGTACCTTGATTCTACTAAGGCAAAGAGCGTGGAAAAGACTGTTGCCCAAGTGAAAGTTAGGGTTGTGTTGCCAATAAAAAGGAAGAAACAATATTAGGAGGCAAAAGCAATAGATGTCTACAACTGTCACAGAAGACTAAATCTATTGACACTTCCTTCCTTCAACTGTAATTTTTAGGATGCTCTGTGGGTATGTAGGGGAAGGTTTGGTTTTGAAGCTAGGATTAGTGATTTTAATTCTCAAAAGAGCCTTTACTTGGTTACACTACAGTGAACCAAGTTAACAAATTTTCTGTACTATCAGAATTTGCTCAGAAATTCTTTTCTTTCCTGCTCTTATTTTCTGAGCAATCTAGTCTCAACCTTTGTTGGTTATGCTATAGGAAGCTATGAGTGTCTGAGCTACTGTTCACAAATATTTACTAAAAATTCCTAGACAGGATTGTATTTTCTCACCCCATTGATTTCAAGGTTGGCCATAGCACTTGCTTTGGCTGAGAAAATATGAGTAGAAGTTATATGTGTTACTTTTAAGCAGAAGCTCTAAGAGACAATGTGTGGCTATGTTCTCTTTTTCCTCTGCACAATAACAAAAGATGGTTCAGATAGAAGATGTTTCATCAGTGTCTCAGTCCCCCAAGATGAAGAGCCGCAGTAAACCTGCTATTTATGCATATTATTATTGAGAAGTAATCTCTTGCAATTTTAAACCACTGAGATTTGGGCCATTGGTTACTACAGTATAACCTAACCACTGTTGATTTATGTACTTGTAAAATGAATTCTCTGTTCAAATTTCACAGAGAATTTCCAACAGACTGTGGTTTTTAAAACAGACCATAAGCAGGAAATTAGGTAGAAGCTGGATAAGTGATTAGAAGCTTATCCTGTGAGCAGTAGAAAATATGTAGATTTTCTAAACAAGCAACTGACAAAATTACTTTTCTGTTTTAAACATTTAATATTAAAATAGTACATAGTACATATCGTAACATGGAACACTCACTTTTGGACAGAACAGTGAATTAAAGAAATTCTCAAATATCTGATTCTCTCCTTTGGTACTAATTAGTAGTTATTTTCCATGTATATTTAGGTTTTTTATTATTAAGTGATATATATATAGATATTAAGTGAGATATATATATATATATATATATATATATATATATATGACAAGCTGAGGAAGATAAAGCCAGAAAAGCAAAAGCAGACAAGTTATGATCAATTTAAAGAGCTACATTTCTAGATCAATAACATAAACAGTAGGTTGCAATGATTTAACCTAGTAGTAATTGCTCCTTAACTCTTTGCAAAAAGCAATCACTAGGTGTATTTTATCTCTTAAATATTTCCCAAATCTATCATTTCCTTCCTATCCTTACCATCACTTCTTTAAATCAGATATTCATCATCTCTTTCTAAAGGTTTGTGATAGTCCCTTAATTAATCCCTGCAGTGTTGCTCTCCTACAGGCTACCTTTTTCAAAGTTGCTGAATACTGTTTCTAAAACACAGATTTGATTATCTTGCTTCCTTGCATTAGACCCTTTTGGTTCAACGCTTTCTGGTAGCATGAGCACACAAACCTTCCCTGAAAGGGGTTGTAAGAATGAGTTCTAAGACCAGACTCTACTATCTGGACTTACTAAATATTTATAACAATATGTTTATTATAATGTTAACTTCTATTAATATTACCTGGTTTCTCTCTCAATTCTTGTGTTTACTCTCTGTTTTGCCATTACCCGATTGCCTTGCAATTTTACATTTGAATTTCTTTATTCCTTTGTATTTACTGATAACTCTCTCCTTCCACCCCACAAACTGATTAATACTATCTCAAGTTTTAACATTAAGTTCAAGAATAATTGGTTTTAAATTTGAGATTAAGTGACTTTTCATTGAATAAGATACTTCTTTTATGAACTCCTCTGATACTCGGTCTATATCTCTGTTATTCCAGTTATCACATGGTATGACATTATGTTTATATATCTGGTTTATGTATCTGTTTACCTCTATGAGACCATAGTCAACTTGAGAGCAGGAACTATGTCTTGTGCATCATTGTGCCCTGATACAGTTACTGGTTCATAGCAGACACATAATGAAAAAGTTTGTGGAATATGTAAGAAATTGCTAAATAAAGAAAATAGTATTATTTCACAAATCACTCTTGAACTCACTATTATGTGGTTCAGTTTTGCTTGATTGAGATCTTTGTGATACATTTCTTTTAAAATATATTTCCAGAGAATGATATTTTTTGAATTCTTGATGCTTCCTTTCATCTGACAAAGATAGGTCAACCTAGTTTCGTTTCCTGCCTTGATTATCTCTACTCATAGAGCTAAAATTAATGCTCTACTCCAGTAACTGCATAGCATAGGTGTCTAGTATTTTAATTTCCTTAAATTAATAAACTGTACTAAAGTTATAGGCAATTTAAAATTTTTGTGAGAAGTGAGCCATACGAACATGTTGACTTTTCATGATATGTTAAAAAAGAACGAAATGGGCATGTAAATGAAATTATATCTGCCATGAGTCTTGATATGGATATATTATTTAAAGGCTTGATTCCAAGTGTTTATAAATAAAGACTCTATTACTATATACAATTAAATTGAGGAATCTAGTAGATCATGATTTTATTTATATGGTTTTCATGTTGCAAGGAAATTGTCACTTAAAGAAGCATTGTTGTTGGCTCCAGAGTGTTGGAAACATATTTGTTATCTAATATATTATAACTGAAGATCTGCCTTTTACAGGACGCTAACAAGTGCTGGTAAAGACCTACAAGATAATTTTCTGACGGCCCTGGCAATGAGAGAAGAAGACAATCGCAGTGGAAAACTGAGTGTAAGTACATTTCATCCAACAGCTTAAAATGTATACACTAAATGCACAATTAATATTAAAAAATGTAACATTAAATATCTTTCTTAAAGTAATTTACAAGATATAAAATATGATTCCTCTTTATTAATTATATATTATAGGAATATACATAGAAAGTTAAAAATTATCATTTACATCTCTAGAAGTAGCCAAATAGTTAAAAAGAAAAAGGATTCTAAACATTCATTGCAGAGAAAATGCCTATGCATGGCAGAATGGTTCTTTAACCTGGGTAAACCCTCCTGCTTCTTTTAAACTTAACCTCTTCTTACATTCTCCCAAGTTGCATCACCCACTGACCCTAAGTTTTGTCCCCTGATTTTATGTGACTTCTAGAATATAGTACCATAGTCTGCCTTTTAGTCCTACCTTGGAAGATGGGATACAAATCACGTAGTAGAAGAACTGTGTTATCATTATTATTTTGAATGATCCAAGGAGAATATACTTTTACTTTATTAAAATGTGTGCTATATCAAATATGTAGAGAATGCGAATATTATTTGGAATAAAGATTTACTTTCACACTTTGTTAATATGATATTTGTGATAACAGTCTTTGTAAGTCTTAACATGTTCCAAATCAAATTTAATAGAAAAGGCAAATATTCATGCTAAAACTGTAGTAAGTGACTGACTTACAGAAAAATAATCAGAAATAGTGTGATAAAAAATTTAGAGCAACAGAAAAATATGTATATAAGGAGATCTATTCTACCAATATTTTCTCAATAAAAAATTTGGAGTTTTTCCCACTATCAGGTCCACTGAAAATATCACATGCAGGCAAAACCCTCAATGTAGTTCAGAGAGAGAAAAAAATCATACCATGTTTAGTTAATAGAATAGAATTAACCCCGACTTAAAATAAGGGAAAATTTCTTGTAGGAAGTAGGCTGACAGAGGTTTTAAAAGGGTGAGGATGGAAATATGGGCAGAGACTAGACTTTGGACAGCTTTAGTAATCACAGCAGAAAAGTCTGAATGAATATATGAGCTATTACGAATGCATTTTCTCAGAAATGTCAATGGAAAAGTTATAGAAATTAAATATTTAAACGAGGCTAAGACTAGGACATAATTTAATCTCCAGAAATGTTGCAATAGGAATGGTAGAATTGCAGAGGATGCTTTAATGAAGATGTACATCTTAAGAGTATTTCATGTATGTGATAGAGACTAAGGAAAATGTTAGAGGTCAAGATGTGGTAATTGAAGAAAATACTAGTTAAAAATTAGAGAGGTAAAATGGATTATTTTGAGACAATAATTTCCAATTTCTTTCCAGACTACTCTGAGGTATTTACAGAGCAGATCAACCTGTTTTATTTCCTTCCTTGGTGTCTGTGATATAGTTATCTTATAGTTTTTCTACTTTCTTCTGACTTTTTAACTCAATCTCTTTCTTGGGCGGATCATCTTATACCTCCAGTTGACCTGTATCTCTTCTACTATACACATTTTCCCTTAGTGAATCAACAAAACCCATGAGCCTACTGATTCTGTTTCCTGCTACAAAAACAGAAACCTAGATTTTTTTTCATCTATTAATTATGTTTTTTCACTTAGTCGTTAAACAGGTAGTGATAAGTGGCTCTATATGAGGCATCGTACTAACTGCTTGGGATACAATGGGTGGCAAGTGCTTATGGAGCTTACAGTTGTTTGGGGCAGAAAATGAATAATCAAATAATCATTATTTGTATAGAAATAAAGCCAAAATGCAATGTGACAGGTGCTATGGAGGAAAAACATAAAAATCTCTGATTGTGTGAAAGTGGGTAGAGGATGATATAATCAGATTTTCAGACAGAAAACATCAGTGTGCCTTTAGTATAGGGAATAAATTATAGAAAGGATAAAGCGGATGCCAGCAGATGCACTGCAAAATCAGATGAAGAGAAATGATTTGAGAGCTATTTAGAAGGCAAATTTGGCAGGATGCTGTGATAGGATATAGTTAAGGAAGGGATAGAAAGAAAGAGGGTAGTCTTTGGAGATAGATAGATGGTACTGCCACTCTGAAATGTAGTGTACTAAAAGATCAGAAGTAGGGCACAGAGATCATGTGTTTGATTTTGAACATACTGAATTTGATTTGTTTTTGACAAAAGAATATGTTCAGATGTTAAGAAGCTGGAGAAAAAGATCTGAACTCTACTCCAAAGTTTACCTCCATATTGCTATCCCTCAAATGCTCAACATTTGCTCTATTACTAAGTTATTTTTTTCCTTTTCCACTTATCAGATCTCACATCCATTTGGTCACCAACCCTGGTCAATTTTACTTGGTAAATAATTCTCAAATAAATGTGGGAGAGGAGGCAATGAAGCCAAAGAGATGGGCAACAGCCAGGTCTAAGGGCTATGTTGCTGTGCTCAGTAGTGTGGACAGAGCTACTGAGATGAAGGTGATGAATGTCCTTAAAATAATGTATACAAATGGTTAATGTGATCAGACATGCAACTTAAGAGTACACTGGCAGCAGTATATGGGGATAAGTGTGTCTCCATAGAGATAGGGAATGATATATAAGACAGGGAGGTCAACTGAGAGGCCATTGTAACAGTTCAGGCAATACATAATAGATGCATAATAGAAGCCTGGGATAAATAAATGACAGAATGAATGGGAAGATAAAGATAGATTGAGTGATTACTTAGGAGATAAAATCTGGAAACCATGTGCTTGTTTTTATGTAAGAAATAGTGATTTGTAGGATTCAGTGGAGAGTGAGCAGCTGATAATAATTTTAATAATGGAAAGACATATAATCCTGGCTTTAGAGGATTTAGTATAGTTCAGTGATTAAAAAACAGATTTTTGAGGTAGACAGTAACTAGACTGAAGTTCCAGACTCACTGCCTACCAAGTATTATGGATTTCAAAAGGACATTACTGTATTTTCTAAGCCACAATTTCCTTCTTTGTAAGGTGGGAATTAAAAGAGTAACCTCATCTTAATATTTATTATTGAAAATATAGATTAAATATTTGTCACACTGTATGATACATGACAACTATTTAATATATAATAAATTTTATAATAAAGGAGTGTTATAACTGCTAAAGCTATAATTGTGAATAAAATAGATATAGAAAATATGCAATACTTTTGCTGCTAGTCTTTAAGGAAAACATTGATTGGATTTGAATTTCTCTTTAGAAAAGATAGTTGAAACAGTTCTTTGAGACAAACAGTTGCTTATAGATTTTATTAGAGATGTAAAGATTGTTGATCAATGTAAGATATTATAGCTATCAGAATATTTTTTAAAGAAACACTATAGATTTTTTTAGTGTTGTAGGAACGACTGTCCATTTTAACTTATAGTCTGTGCAAACCGCTTTACTATTTGCCAAAAACAAAGATGTATAGAACATGGGTCCTCCCTATAGTGCTTCTAATATAATAGGATTATGTAATTCTTTCTAGTGAACAAGCAGCTGGGAGAGGAGATAATTATTTTTCAAATGGTAGTAAACTAAGAATCCCTGATTTGTTGAGTGAAAAAAAATAAAACATTTCCTTTCTAATCAAAGACTCATGAAGATTATAATGAGAGGTCACATGCTGTTCGGGGTGGGAAAAGTGAGACCCATTGACACTTATTTTCCCACTGAATGTTGACTATGTAAACAGTCACATGGATGACTAGTTTTGGCTTTGAAATATGCATTATTGAAGCTAGTAAAAAAACATTGCCTACAGCTTTTCCTTCAGAGTCATTCAAAGAAACCACTGTACCTGGGTCAGGAAAACCTATGAATTAGGTGGTTCCTAATATACCCATTTCCTGTGTTGAAATCTCTATGAAACATAAGATTGCGTTGTATATGACCAATAACATTGTGCTGACATGATCTTTTCCCTCCTTCCTATTTTCCAACTTTTATAAAATGTTCCCTTTAAAGAAAATGAAGGTATTATACAGATGTTTATTTCTTTTTTAATAGAATTCATGCTTGTCCACTAATAAACCCTTATGGAAATTATATGACTCACACAATCTTACCCTCATTTTAAATAAATTACATCAACGTTTGGGGGAAAATGTATATCAACATTTATTTCACCAGAAAAACTATAGCTGGATAGATCTTTAATTTCCTTATTTCCTGGATAAAAATTTGATACAGAGGCAGTGAGAAGTGCAGGAAAGAGCGAAGGTTATGGAGTCATCTTATCTGAGTTTGAATCTTGGATTTTCTACTTATCACAAGCTGAAGACACATTTCTCAACTCAACACAGCCTGAGTTTCCCCACCCAAAGTATGGGGATAATAATTTTCACACTGCTGAGATATTTATAGAATAAAATTATATAATGTGTAAAGCACATCTAAGCCTAAAACTTGGTAGGTGGTTTTTTTTCTTTTCTTTTCTGAGACAGTGCCTTGCTCTGTTGCCCAGGTTGGAGCGCAGTGGTACCATCATGGCTCACTGCAGCCAAGATCTCCTGGGCTCAAGTATCCTCCCACCTCAGCCTCCTGAAAAGCTGAAACTACCAGCATGTGTCACCACACCCAGCTAATTTTTTTATTATTTGTAGGGACAGGGTTTCCCTATTTTGCCCAGGCTAGTCTTGAACACCTGGGCTCAAGTTATCCTCTTGCCTGGGCCTCCCAAAGTGCAGGCTACTGCATTATGGATGTTCAATAAAGCATAAATACCATGTGTTATGTTAGGTCAGGTTCCCTAAAAGCAGAGCATAGGATGCCAATTTTAGTGCAAGCGATTTATTGAGAAAGTTCTCTCATCTAAAACCTGTTGTGGCATGATGGAAGCATGATACTATAGAGGAAGAAGCTAGGCAGAGATGT